>NC_000006.12:97343517-97495032 GCF_000001405.40 Homo sapiens
CATACAACATAAAACTACTGGGCAATATGAAAGAGCAAATAACTGAAACCTGGAACATCATGGATGGGTCTCAAATTTTATGTCAAATGAAAGAAAGCAGACACAAAATACCACAAACAACCATATATTTCAATTTATATGAAGCTCAAGAACAGGCAAAACAAAAAACTGAAAGCAATCTAAATGCCCATCAATTGGATAAACAAAATGTAGCGTTTATACAATGAAATATTACTCAGTTAAAAAAATGAACATCTGATATAACTGATCCATCTGATACAAGAGGTAAAGCATTATGCTAAGTGAAAGAAGCTAGACACAAAAGATTACGTAGTGTCTGCCGGGCACGGTGCTCACGCCTGTAATCCCAGGACTCTGGGAGGCCAAGGCAGTCAGATCACTTGAGGTCAAAAGTTTGAGACCAGCCTGGCCAACATGGCAAAACATTGTGTCTACTAAATATACAAAAATTAGCTGGGCATGGTGTCGCACGCCTTTAATTCTAACTACTCTGGAGACTGAGGCAGGAGAATCACTTGAAACCAGGAGACAGAAGTTGCTGCAAGCCAAGATGGTGCCACTGCACTGCAGCCTGGGTGAGGGGGTGAGACTCTCTCTCAAAAAAAAGAAAATTACATAGTGTCCAATTCCATATATATATACATGGAGTTTTTCAGAAAAGCCAAATCTATCCTGACAGAAAGCAGATCAGTGATTACTGGGACTGCGAGTGAGAGTAGGGATTGACTGCAAATGGATATGAAGGAACTCTTTTTTTTTTTTTTGAGATGGAATCTTGCTGTCACCCAGGCTGGAGTGCAATGAGGCGATCTCAGCTCACTGCAACCTCCGCCTCCTGGGTTGAAGTGATTCCTCTGCCTCAGCCTCTCGTGTAGCTGGGATTACAGGCCTGCACCACCACGCCTGGCTAATTTTTGTGTTTTTTTAGTAGAGACGGGGTTTCACCATGTTGGCCAGGCTGGTCTCGACCTCCTGAGCTCAAGTGATCTGCCCACTTTGGCCTCCCAAAGTGCTGGGATTACACGCATGAGCCACCGTGCCTGGCCTGATTTGGGTATTTTTATAGTATATAAATTATACCATAAATTAAAAGAAAAAGTCATTACAAATTTAGACTCTGTTGACTTGGAAAAAAGTAACAGTGGAAGTTACCTGGATTAAACTTTGCTTGATTCTGAGGCATGAAGGAAACAGACATGGAAGAAGATGATGACTGTTAATTTTATCATATGTGAAGTGATTTCTGAGGCAGTAAAACATGCAGAAGCTTGAGGAGAGAGAGGTGATGTCAACACAGAATTTATTTGCTCCTAGATACACGTGATTAGTAAAAGGAAGTAAAATTAAGCATCTTTTATTTTTAAGAGGCCACATTTCTGCAGTGGAGACCATTGTCACTTTTTTTCAAGCCAGTACTTTAAGAAGTTTGTTAGGCACATGGAGCTCTCCTCAGTTTACAACTAGAAGCACTATGAATAAGATAAGGTAAAAGTTTTTTGAGGAGTAATGAAAAGCTCATGTTTAATTGAGTAGTAATGAATAAAAGGTGTATAGTCTACACCTAAAATTTTTTAACCTCATTTCTTATTCTCTATTGGATGCTCTAGAGGCAGAGCCTGAGAGAGGGATTCTTGTTCAAGTGACTCATTGAAGGAGTGTTCTCTGGGGAAGGAGAGTGAGGGATGTAGGACAAGACAGGGAATGTGTCTCAGCTGGAGACTGGTTTCACTCAGATCCTATTGGGAAGGTCTGGGATGAAAATTACACTGAAAAGCTGGTCCCATCATGAGGTAAGTGGGTCCTTTTTACTCTTCTATCAGTTATTGGCTGAGGTTTCAAGGGCGGTAGTGTTGGAAAGTGTAGCCTTCCTGGTGTGGTAGCTTTCTTTGGTGATTGTCTTAGTCTGTTCAGGCTACTATAACAAAATACCTTAAACTGGATAATTTATAAATAATGTAAATATATTTCTCATGGTTCTGAAGGCTGGGAAGTCCAAAGTCAAGGCACCAGCAGATTCACTGTTACTGTCTGGTGAGGACCTGTTTTTCCCAGGTGGTGCCTTCTCTATGTCCTCACTTGACAGAAGAGGAAAAGGCAGTTCCCTTCAACCTCTTTTATAAGGGCACAAGTCTCATTCATGAGGGCAGAGCTCTCATGACTTAATCACCCCCTAAAGGACTCACTTTTTAATATTTTTGCATTGGGGGTTAGGTTTCAACATGTGAATGTTTTTTGTTTGTTTGTTTGTTTTGGTGATGGGTACCAACATTCAGACCGTAGTACTTTCCAGGGAATGGAGTCATTTGTGAACTATTATCAACCTACACTCACAACAGCCAGAGGATGAGAGCACCTGCCTGAAAAGGGGCAGGGTCGCACAGTGTCCACTACAGTATAGTATAAAATACATAACTCTGGAGGGTTACTTTTTAGGGAAAGGTTATGTGCATGTTCAATTAAGTGTTTTAAAACTCTTTTCCCCTTATGCTTGGAAAAAGCTATTTTCTGAATCAAAACTCAGGATATTTTGTCAAGTCATGTATCCTGACTTGGGATTTAGAAATGTATTTCTCTGATACTTTATTTTTATGAAACATGTGACATATAAATTTAACATATATTTATTGGTATACTTAAACATTAAAATAATAAATAAAGATGGGCCATTGGGATGCTTTGGAACATAAAAGGCTTATTATTCCCAAGTATCATATACAGAGTCTCAAACCAGATTTGATGGACAAAATTTCTCATTTGCTTTACAAATCTCAATTCCTTTTGTCTCACTCAAACGTCTATTCAAATTTTCTCTTCCTTTAAATTTTTCTATAATTTAAGTAACATCTTGTTTCTATTTGCTTTTTTTTCTTTCTATAAATCATATTTATTCTTCTTTTGCTTGCTTTTCAGGCATGGCTTGAGGTTTCTCAGGAAACTTATTCTTTTCATCTAACCTATTATATCTATTAATTGTTATCTCTATCATCATTTTTTTCACCTCATTGACTCATTATTCTCAGAGTCAAGCAAATGGGAATGCACTTAAGTGTACAGGAGAGAAATAGTAAAATGTTGACAATGTGTAATAGTGTTTTATTGCTATCATCATCTGTTATAACTCCTCTGACACCCATTACATATGTTTATGAAGAGCCAGGTTGGAAGAGCATGGAGTCTGCTTTTGGGAAGGCATTTGAGCTGCCTCCAGCCTGATAAAGAGTTTAGAATGGTTACCCACTCATCCCCAGATGATAATTATATTACCTTTATTCAATATTTTCTTATGCTAGACATCATTTCATTGTAAAAGCCAAATAAAATTTTAAATGTGTTTTGAACCAAAAGTGTTGCAGATTTCATTGTCTTTTAATTTTTTCTGTCTTACTTTGCATTCCTTATAATCCTAATATTCTGATTGTCTTGATTTTTCTCCTGTTCATGAACGATCCTTAACATGCTCAGGCTACTTTTCTATTTCTGAACCATATTTAATGCTAAAGCATACTGCCCAGAAATCCTGTTGTCTTGTAATGGTCCCTACTTCCTCATCAAGACCCTCTCCCTGCCTACAAATACCTTGGCTTCACCCAGTTGCTAAAATTTTCATCCAAAGACCAGAGTGGGAGCTGCCATTGCCAGTGCTTCCCAAAGTGCACTCTCAGGGATCCCCTGAGTACCATGAGGTCTTCCCCTTGTGCTTTTTCAAAACCTAGTTTTTTTTTTTCTTGCTTTTGATTTCTGTGGACCTCAGATTACTTCACTACTTCTGAGGCAACATGACCATCTCTTTTTGCCATCTCATTTCCTCAGAAGCAAGGCCTCACTTTTTTTTCATTTCCATTTAACAGTTCTTGGTCTTTTTTCATATGGGTTTTCATATGCCTTTTAAAAGACCAACTCCTGGGACTTATTTCTCTTCTACCTGCTCAGATCTAGGACTCTTTTGGATCTGAGCTTCTTTCTCTTTTTTTTTTTTTCCTCTTTGTGAACATTCTTACTTTAATGTCAAAAAAAAAAAAAAAAAAAAAAAAACCCAAAACTTTTAAAACCCGGTTTTTAAACTGTTTCTATGGGAGTTTCTATTTCCTTCAAAAGCTCTGGCAATTGTTTCTATTTATTTAATAGTAAATTTGTTTTTTGGTTTGATGTCTGTGTGTGTTTACTCTGTTTTCTGCTGCTGTAGCACAAATCAGATTCCTAAAATCAGTGTTTAGGCACAAGACCAAAAACACCTTCTTACCCTGGAAATATTGCATATCTCCTCTCTGCTTCCAGAATTCATTCTTACTTTTTCATCTCTCATTAAACTTCACTTTGAATAATCCTGCACTCTGGATTCTCAAAATTAGTGACAATGATTAAATCTTAGTAACATACCACTCCCTTCCCTCTTAAAAAACAAGATTAAGAGGGAAAAAAAATGAGCTGGAGTAATGAAATCCAACTCACATATTAAAGCAAAGGTAAAACTGCATCTCAGATTTCAATCTATTTGAAACAAATCTTTCCTGGCTTCCAGAATGACTTCTTACCTCCTCCACAACCAGATTTCTGCATGCTTCACATGATGTAGGGGCACTTATGAATGTAGCTACTATTTATAGAGGCTTCACTGAAACCAAACTGAATCTCTATTCACTCCATCTCAGATTCCTCTTATTTATTATCTGCTGTATAAAACTTACATCTACTAAGGATTCAGAGTTTTGAGATACATGGCTCTAAAAGTATGATTTTTTTTAGTAATCTCTTTTCCCAATTAACCATCCACTATGAAATTATCATCAGACTGGAGTGTTTCTTCTGGAGGAAAAATTACCTGTGAACCTAGATGCACAAATATCCCTACAACCTCATACTGTTGTACCTTGCCAAGATGCATAAGCATGGGAGACATTCTTTAGGCAAATGCTCTGCATACATTATTACTAGCTGTGGTTTGGATCTCAAGCCTGTTTAAACTGTGATACTAAATGTAGTCCACCAGAGCCACATGTTTTCTTCTAACTCGAATGGGTCAAGTGACTCCATTCTCCTAGGCCTATTTGCTGATCTAATTATTTTGGACTCATCATCAGTTTTGGAAAAGGAAGTAGACAAAATGGAATCCAAGAAAGTAATACCAGAGACAGAGCTAGTCAGAGACAGAGCTGACCTAAACGATCTCTTCCACGTCTTCCTCCTTTTGGAGCCCAACGAAGTCCATTATACCCAGCACCTTTCATAAGATTGAGAGATTCAAGATAAATAGAGATAATAGATTTTGGTGGGAAGATAATAAACTTAATTTTCAATAATAACATCCTTCTAAAATTCTAGAAAGTAGTTTGAAGTGCAGGACGAACCTGGGAGAGGAGTTAGGACTGGAAAAAGATTTCGAAGTCATCTGCATAAAGTATTTAAGGCCATGGGAGTAGGTGGAAGATTGTGTAAGTGAATCAGAAGTATAATAGTATATATCTGAGATCAGAATGCCTAGGTTTAATTCTATCTCTGTCATATTTTAACTGAAATCTTGGGCAAATTACCATCTGTGATCCTTGGTTTTCTCATGTTTGTAATGGGGTTTGATTTAGGTTATCTTTAAGTTCCCTTTTATCTCCAAAATTCTACTATTTTAAGAAATTGTTAAAGGTGAAAATGCAGAGATAAAATATAGAGGACCTGTAAGTACGTAATAGAATTGAGACTTAAGGCAGGTTTCAAAGCTGAGAACAACTTAAGAATGTGCATATTTGAATGAGATTATTTGTTTCTTGATTAACACATGAACTTTTTCCCCCCTGGGGGGTATTAGGACCCAATTTTCATTAAAATTTCCTCTTCACAAGGTAAAATGTAGTACTCTAAGGAGATTACAATAACTGAGACTAATGATGGTTTAAGCATCAAAAATTAGAATAAAACAAGTGAATTTTAGGGATGATATTTCAACGATAAAATAGCAACTGATGACAACCTGAATGTGGTATGAGAGAAGCAAAGTCAATTGGTTCTAAGATTGCACACTATTTGATATATAATTGAAGACATAGTGTAAGAGGAGATGGAAATTAAGAAGTTGTAATCATATGGGTGCCTTTATGAAGCACTCAAAACACTTTGCACACATCAAGTGTTAATCCTTATTATATCTTTAAGAGGCAAGTAAGAGAACGGGTATTATTCTCACTTAGAAATGGATGGCTTGTGTTTATGGGGTAAGCACGTGGCACATGCAGAGGCAGCCAAATGTCGCCACTGAAAGGATGTGCTCTACGTCACGGGGCCTGCATTTAGCTCCCCAAAGCACCACCCCACACATCGTGTGTCCTAGGGCGAGTTCTTATTTGGGCTTCAATGTTCTTGCCTACAAAATGGAAATAATAATGGTTATTAGTAGCTGTTAGGTTTAAATAATGTGTGTAAAGTGCTTCTAATGGTATCTGCCACATAGTAAATATAGTCAATATAATTTACTACTACTGCTATTACTGCTACAATGACAATCAGCAACATACAGTGAGGTTTTGATACATGTAAAAGGAAATTAATGTTTCTTCATTCTTATTTTGGGGCTTCTATTCTGTAAGTGGGGCCTGGGGAGAACAGGGACTATGAAGGTCCCTGTGGCAGTTCATTGCGTGGTTCCTATTAATATTAATATTAATGATACCACAGTGCCTTCACTTTTTTGAGTACGAAACTTGTTTATGACATTTTGTTGAAGACAAATGGAAGTTAAAAACAACAGCTTTTTCTTTTCCCATTAATTTTGTGTTTTTAATGGAGCAGGAACTGGGTTAGAGGCATAGTTTGTTTGAAGGGTATTTCTTCTCATGAAAGGGGTCAATGAAAAGCAAAAGCTTAGGAGATTTTGTGCCGGAGTATAACGGCAGGATAATAAATTAGTGATATTTTTAAAAAGATAGGTGAGAAAAGTCAGACTAATAGCCTGTTGCATAGTCTTTCAGATTCTACTTCTACCCCACACTGCGTCAGGATTTATTTCTATCCCATTCTTTTAGCTAAGCCTTCTACCCTCTGAAAAACTTTCCTTCCTCAGCTCATTAAGCCATGTCTTTTTGATCCTTTAATATGTGATTCAAAACATTCTGATTGTCTCCCCTACTTAGATCACCCACTGGATCACCTCAGTATACATATATTATTTGCACTATTTTAATTTTGCACTAATTTATGTTTCTTTGGAAACCCTATTTTAGTCCATTTATATAGCATGAATAATCAGTACTATTGAAAGTTCCTTGTTGTCAGGAACCATATTTTCTATTTCTATTGCATCTCCCTAGGGTATCTGTCATAATGTTCAGAAACATTTATGAAGTACCCAGTAATGCTTAATGAATGTTAGTGATGACAAGACTCTCATGCAATTGAGATAGCAATACAACATCTGAGAGATTTCTGGGAGACAAGCAGAGAAACAGAGGCCAGAGGTGTACAGATTTGAGTTTTATCCATGTAATGAGAGTAGTTTCACTAGACAAAAATTCCAGGTTTCTTAAACCTTTTTATTCACCTAAGTGCTCCATGTCTTTTTAAGCATTTTCAATGTCTTTTTTGGTATACTCTTACAAAATTTGTATGCCTTTTCTCTCTAAGGAAGATGACCTTAACTGATTGAAAGGTGAAAGGATACCATAATTTATATAATGGTATTATATTTCTTTCTAATATTCTCCAATTATGGAGAGCTTTAAGATTGTCCCTGTTAGCTATGGGATGTCATAGCTATAATCTTGTACTATGCCATGTACTATAATCTTTAAAATGAATTCATTTTTGACATTTTTATTTTCTTGTGACATAGCATCATCAAATTTTCAATAGTATATGTGACTAGTATATACAAACCTAAAACAAATCATACATTCTTTGAAAACTATGGAGTGAAAATAAACTACAAATGTAATTTGGTATGTATCTTAGCTTAAAGTGGGAAACATTCTAGGAGATATTTTATATAAAAAGAAAACAAAAGAAACCTAATTTTTCCCCTTTTTATGATTTCCAGAATTAGTGCTATAAATTGCAGAAGAAAATAGAAAATTATATAAGCGATGCAATATATGTTGAAGATACATTCTTGTAAGGAAACACTATGGTACATAATTGTCATAGTATTAATAATTCTTTACCTTGAAAAGTAGTCAAATGATCTTCACTTCAGACAAATCATAGGACCGTAAGTCAGGTATAATCACAATATAAATATTCATGTATAGCATATATAGGAATATATGTGTGTGTAGTATATATGTGCATATGTGTATACATGTTTATAATAGGTTCTGTTTAAAATATGTTATAGTAATGGAGAAAACTTTTGAGACAGTAACTTTTAAAATAGAAATCTTAAGGAAGGAAAAAGAAAAAAATTGTCACAAACCCTGAAATTTACACAGTATAGTACTTCTCATGGCAACTGTCGTTGATATTCATGTGGTCATCCATGGAATGCAATGTGCAATGAGGACAAGAGCAGTGATATCAGCAAAACAATTTAGTCGTGGATGTAAGCTCATTCCTGATACATAAAACACTATACTTGATTTTAGCCAAAAGGCTGAGAAGTGCTGGCATGTAAATGACATATAAAATAAATTTGGTTCTCTCTATTAAGCATATTAGGAATTAGCATCAATTAATTATATTTCAGGGGCTAATATGTAACTAATTTTAATGGGCCTTGGGCCTCAGTGCATTCAGTTATTTTTATAGAAAGCACCTTTCACTTCAGGTGCCAGATTAAGGTAACAGTCTGATAACAAGCACATGCACTAAGAATAAATGAGGGTTTGTTTGCCTCAGAGTGGTTGGAGTGACTTCTTTCATTTGTTTTCATCTTGCTGATCTCAAGCATTGTTACTTTCTGTCCCTTCTCCAGATAAACAAGGCATAGGTCTACTAGCAAGAGGGATTTCTGTAGTTCCCAATTATAGCTCATTTTGAAGGAAATGTGTATTGGACTTTTTGTGAAGAACACTAGTAGCCTTAAACAAGCCATTGAAATGCAAATACAAAATTATCTAATTGGAACATTTTTATGAATTGCTAGAATAATTTTTACATATTTTTAGAAGATATTACTAGAGTCTTTAAAATTTTAGTAGTAGTTCTGTGACTCAAATTTAGTGTTTTATAGAAAAGACAAGGTTGGCATACCTTCTGTTTTTAGGCATACTTAAGTTGAGATTAGAAGAAAAATCAGTGTCTCTTTTCCTGCATTCATTGGTGTATTATGTGGAATTTTGTCAAAGTCATGATCAGTAAGTAACAGAAAGCTGTGTAAATGAAAAGCAAAACTGCAAAAATCAGCTGCAGTAAAGGTTTATTTTTCATTGATAAAATTTTCTAATTCCCAAACAATCTGGAGTCTGGCAAATATGTAGTAGTATAGTAGTTTCATTAGGCAGGTTTATATGAGAGAAAAAACCAACAAGGAAAAGGTTTGCTTAAGCATCTGAAGGCCACCCTGATGATATCTAGTGTTTGAAATAGCTGTGCTTTAGAATTGTGCAAAAGGGAATCAAAGGAAATGCCTTAAAATTCTACCCAATATATTGGTTATGGAGTATCTCCTGGGAGTCACATTAAAACAAACACACACACACACACACACACACACACACACACACACACAAACAATTCATCCAAAATTGTTCAAATTGTGAATAGGTGGATATATCGCAAAAACATGCATATCAAACTCTAAAGAATGGTTATAACTATATGCAATTGAGCAATGTAATATAAAACTCACAAAAAAATTAAAACATTTATTGTTCTAGCCCAGCACTTCTCAAATTCATGCCTAGAGCTGCAACTACATAGATTAGATTCTGACTTAATTTGTCTTACGTGGGACTGAGGACTAGGTAATTCTTTCAAGCTCTCTTAGTGATACTGGTATGAATACATGGTTGAGAAATACTGCTTTACACCATGGATCCTTGAGAGGAAAGCAAAGACTTTAGGGTGGATTGGCCCTCTGTTGAAATCCTAGCTCTGCCACTGACTGTGTGGCCTTGTGTAGGGAACTCTCAGAGGCTTCATTCTCAATCGTATGGGAAATGCAAAACCACAGGATTCTTATGAGAATTATATTTGGTAATGTTCTTAAAGCCTTTGGTATAGATCAAAAATACTTGTTTACTATCTTTATACACTTCTCAGTCTCTGATAACCCCAGGCATAAGGTCACCTTGTCTTATAATATTAGGTAATATTAGTGTCACTACCCCCAATATATTATCTAGTACAATGTTCAGCATTTTTGAGGATTCTTTGGGGATGAGGTTAATGCATGTAATTATTTTTGGCTCTTTTTTCCTGCTTCTTAAATTCACAGTGTCTACCTCCAATTTTGCTTCTTGCTTCTGACTCTATTTCTATTTTGTAATGTGCCACTGGACAAGGTCTCTATCCCTTTGCTATCAAAAGTATCAACTGTAGCTAATTTTAATGAAGGTTTGTGATTCAACAATCTAAAATTTTACATTGGATAGTCAATTTCTTAAAAATATCGCAACCATTTCTGGCTCTGAGGAATTTTTATTGTCTATTCTAGTGGGGTTTTGACCTCTTTTTATGTTCCTGTTCTCTCTTTGTTTCTTTTTAAAACTCCATTACATGTTCTCCTAGATGTTTTTGCTTCAAAATCCCCAAATAGCTAGTTAGTCCTGAGTTCTCCATTTGGCTCACTTTGAGGCAATTCAGTTATATGCTGATTAATGTCTTTTCACCACAAAGTTATTGAACACAATATTTTGCTAAATAAAAATTGTTCTTGCCTCAAAGAGGAATTTTTCCATTCATGAGAATGATAATTTTCCTTGCCATTGTACAATGTTGGCACAACTGATTTTTTTTTTTTTTTTAGTATGTATAATTGGCTGAACAATGACACAGTTGAGATAGCAGAATACCTTCCAGAGATCAATAGAGCTAGGGTAGTATCCTGGAAAACTAAGTTTTGTTTGTCAGTTCATAGCTTTGACCTAACTAAATTTAAGAATCACTCCATATAATATCTGGTGTTGAATGCCACTGTCTTTATGTGACTTTCAGGATTATGCAAAATGGCTGAGAGTATTGACTTAGAAGTAAAATAATTCAATGGGTCCATCTGAAAGTTGGAACATACTTAGAATTTTTTATTTTTTTGTATAGTTAATACCTAGGTATCTATTTCTTAGTTCTTCTCCCTCTTTTTAATGTATTTAAATTTTTTTGTATACACAGTGATATTTGTCTGTTTTAGAAAATCTAGAACTTAAAACAAGTAGAAAATAAGAAAGTAAAAAGGATCTGCAATGTTACAATCCAATAATAATTACCACTGACATTTTTGTTTTAATCTTTCTTTCCTTTTTTATACAAACATTTTTGCTTACTAATAAAAAGAGGTTAACATAAATACAATTATGTAATTCACTTTATTCAGCTTAACATTAGGCAAACATCTTTCCATGCCACTAGATATTTACTTATACTATTACTTTTAGTGATATATATATATATATATATATATAGTGTCCCATTATATGGATACACTAATAATTCATTCAATTTTCTATTATTGAACCCTTAAGGTTTTTTCCCTTACCATTTTTATTATAAAAAACATCCTAGTGAAAATTATTTTAATTAAATTATTGCATACATTCAGGATAGACTTCTTAAAATACTTTATTTTTTAGAGCAATTTTAGGTTCATAGCAAAATTGCAAGGATGTACAGAGATATTTCCTATACCCAGAACTCTTGCATTTGCATAACCTCCCTTACTATCAACATCCCCAGCAGAGTGGTATATTTGTTACAATTAATGAACCCACACTGACACATCGCTATTATCCAAAGACCGTAGTTTACATTAAGTTTCACTCTTGGTGTACATTCTGTGGATTTTGGTTTGGACAAATTCAAAATGGCATGTATCCACCATTATGGTATCATACAGAGTATTTTCACTGCTTCCAAAATCTTGTATTCTACCTATTCATTGTTTATGGTTATAAAACAATAATCCCATCTCATTTTTAGAGTAGTACTTAGTTTTACTCTAATTTTAAAAATAAATCTAACCTTTGTGGAAAATTGCAAAAAAACATGAAAAGGAAATAAAAATCAACCTTAATTTTAGCAGCTATAAAAAATTAACGTTTTGGGTATATGCTCCTTTCTATGTATGTTTTTCCCTCAAATTATAAAGTAAGATGTGTTAATCATTGAAAACATGGTAGTAGAGAAACCTGCAAACAGGATAAAATTTTATTTATTATCTCAGTTTCCTGAAGTGACCACTGTTACAATGTAGATATAATATATACCTTTCTTCTTTATGTTTTTATTTATTTAAGCTCATATTGGATAGATTTGTTATGATTTCATTAACTTTCTATTGTTGTAAAATAATTTCCTGGCGTTATTAAGAACTCTAATTTTTAATACTGCTTAATAGTCTATTTTGTGGAAGTATTTTCTATTATTTGGCAGTTAGCCTATTATTTGATAGCTAGTTTGTGTTATTTTTAATATAAATATTATGAATACTGCTGCTTTATGTACACTAATGCATTTTTAATGTACATTAGGGTTTTTTTATAAGATTGGTTCTTCCAAGTGGAATTAGAGTGTAAATGTTATGAACTTTATTTCTGCTGTTTCTTATGTTTCTGGTTAACTGATGCTGGTAAACTCACATCAGTGGCATTAAAAGGCATGTTCATCTTCCTATTTTCTTGAGAAGGGTAAATGTAATTTTCAACTTTTGCAAATTGTTCCTGTACAAATGAAAAAGAGAATCAAGAGCAAATATAATTATAGTGGTGGATATAAATATATTTTCCTTTGTTTTTGTGTCTTAGAATTCTCATATATTTTCTTCAAATATATCTTTTTGAATTAGCAAATTGTGTGAGAAAATACATGCTAAATGTTTTTAAGTGATAGTTATGTTAATAATGGTTATTCATTAATCAAGTATTTTTTTTAAACTCCTACGTACCAGACATGTTCCTAGGGGTTTGTTTTATCTTTTCTCTTTTTAATGTATTTAATTCAGTGAGAAACTGAATGAGGAGATCTAAGTAGATTAATTCATTTAATGAATATTTATTCCATACTCTCTGCTGCATGGGGGTTAAGTGCTGGCAGTACAGAGAAGAATAAGACATGATTCCTGTCCCTAGGAGCTCCAGGTCTAGTGGGGGACAGTGGGTCAACAAGTGATTGTAATCCAAAGTGGGAGATGCAGCAAATTGGTGTGCTTGCTGTCCGTGGGTGCAAGGAGTGAGCAGTGATGCTCTGCAGGGGGAGATGATCAGTGGAAGCTTCACCTAGGAGAAGGCACTCAAGATGGTTCTGGAGGGATTTAGGAGTTGGCTAATATGAGAGGATGGAAGGTGAGGGGGTACTTGCTACCTTAGTCTCAAGGTAAAGGGAAGGATCGAAGATGTATAGCAGGTTATGAAATGGCATTAGCCTTGGTGAAGTCAACAAAAGCCTTATGGGTCAATTAGACAGTGATTTTGTGAAATTAAGCTTGAATAACATGAGACAGCTTTATGTTGTGCTTAATTAGTAGACATTTACATGTGTAATAATACAATTAACTAAGACAAATCTTTTTGCAGTAGTTATATTTTTCTGTGTTTACAGACTACATATTTGCTCATTGAAAAATTGTGAAAATATAGGAAAAAGAGGAAAATAAATATTCAGGCATAATCACTGTTAACATTTTAATGGACATGTTTTAGAAATTTTTTTAAACATATAAACATCCTTTAAAAATGTAATCATATAATGCATATGGCTTTTTATCTGTTTCTTCTCACGTAGTATATCATGAAATCTTTCTCAAAATAAACATAAGCTAATATTTCATATTAACATATTCTGCTATATGGATATGCCACAATTGGTTGAACAAATTCACGTCTTCTAGTACATTTGAGGTTATCCTTTTTTTCTATTAAGAAGAATGCTAAGGTAAACAGTCTTTTATGGTCATCTTTGTTCACTTCTTCATATCCTTAGGAAAAATTACTGGGTTAAAGTATTTATGTTTCAAATGTTGCCAAATTGGCTTCTTGAATGAAGGTTTGTATCGTTGTAATTATATTTTCACTAAACAATGTAAAAGAATATAAGCAAATCTTACTCTGATTCAAATTGCTTTCCTTGTAAAACTAACGTTATTCTGCTCAAAATAAAACCATTGGTGCCAATATACTTCAATTAGGCTTGTGATTAAATTATAAATAAAGAAGAAATCAGTAACTCTGTGCTTCTGAGTTTTCCCCTCAAGAATATTAAATGAAAGTGTAACAGACAAAATTGAACATAAATAAAATTTCTCCAATGAATTAATAGACATTTATATTTAAGCCAAAATTTGAAGAAACTGAAGAAATTTGTATTTTGGGGATGTCTTCATACTGAGAAGCTTCGCATTTTCAGTTGTGTTCTATTATTGAATAATCAGATCATCCAGATTTTTGTACCCATAAGCTAATGTTCTTTGTCTTCAAAGAAATTCATAGAATAAGTTATGCTAACTTAAATAACTTTCCCTTTCACGAGAGTAAATTTCACGAGAGTATTTCAGTGTTCTAAGTTAACCCCTAGTAATCTCAAAGAATTAAGACAACTTTTCAAAGTATACAATTTAACACTGGAGTGTTTTAAAATATAAAACAAAATTGGCTGGGCGTGATGGCTCACGCCTGTAATTGCAGTACTTTGGGAGGCTGAGGCGTGCAGGTCACGAGGTCAGGAGATCGAGACCATCCTGGCTAACACAGTGAAACCCCGTCTCTACTAAAAATACAAAAAAACATTAGCTGGGCGTGGTGGTGGGCACCTGTAGTCCCAGCTACTCGGGAGGCTGAGGCAGGGGAATGGAGTGAACCTGGGAGGCAGAGCTTGCAGTGAGCCGAGATTGTGCCACTTCACTACAGCCTGGGCAATAGAGCGAGACTCTGTCTCCAGGGGAAAAAAAAAAAATATATATATATATATATATTATATAATATATATTTATAAAGATTAATAATATATTTATAAAGATATAAATATATATTATAATTTATAAATATATTATATTTATAATATTTATATTTATAATATAATATGTTTATAAATATATTATATATAATATATATAACAAAATTAAACGAATCTAGAGGTTTATGTGTGCTTTTATTATTATTTAATATTCAAAGTTAAAAAAATTACATTAACTTCCTAAGATTTAATAGCAACTCAAAGTCCTGTATAAATATATTGATCCATTCTTTATAATTACTATGCATCAATAGTCTAGGCACCCCAAATTCCTGGTGAATGAGTCATTTTAGATAGCCATTTTCTAAGTAATAGAATTCCCCCCCGCCACTAAGAAATAGAAATATTTCAGAATTACCTTTTAAACTTCCTTGCCTTATTTAAGCAAGCCTCAGGTAATTGTTATATACTGTACTGCTGCATTGACCTCAGGGTCTATCGAATTTTATTTTTGCCCCTGCTAATTGATCCCATATTTCTTTGCTGAAAATTCTTGAGCTTGCTTTGTATTTTTCAGTCTTCTTTGTCAGTTGTCATATTTTTCTGTCAGTGTATCTACTTTATCTAATTCTAATTTGCTGATGCTAATCTGGCATAAATATGCTTGTTAAGATTGTATAAAGCAAAAGTAAATGAGAACTTGGAAAGGAAATGACAGCTTCTTTTTGAGCAAAGAACAAGCATTTTCCTTTATAAATATAAATCTTATTAATATACTGACTGGCTAAGGAGTCAAAATTACTAATTTCCTACTCTGGCTATCCTATTTTGAATAGAAAAGCTAATTTTCTTACTCTAAGTGCCCCTCTTGACCCAAACTAAGTGTCAAGCAAAAGGGAGTTTTAGGGAAGGCAAAGAATAAAGCTGTCATGGCTTTCTCCTACACTATCATCAGATTAAGGTGCAGCTTCACCTTAAATTCCACCAGCTGTAGTGTCTGTGTGCAATTTTCCCTGTTTTCTATGTTCTTCTAAAATGAACTGACTTCTGCTGTGAGGTTCCGTAAACTTATGAACATCAGCTCTTGTTTTCACCCTGCGTCACCCACTGTTCTAAAATCTGCTTTGATTTTTTTTCTTTTTGGTAAAAATAAGAGCAAGTTCCAGGGGGTTTTAGCTCATTTTTAGCAACATATGCATTAGAGAAGAAGGACTAATCCTGTTGTGATTCAGGAAAAATAGGCATACCATATATTTAGAGAGTGTCTGGACAGAGTTACTGGATTAAATTGGAGTTAAAGTCTTCATTTGAGTTTGATGGTGTTTTGTAGTCCAATATACACTGAAATCTTCCTTGGCCTGAAAGCAAGTTAGAAGTAGCTGGGCAATACAATTAGAGATGAGGAAAAAATGTTTAGAAGAATCACTGGTAATAAACACAAAGTTTTTAAAAAGTTAGAAAGCAAGTCTAGTGATACAAGTTATCATAAAAAAGGTTAAAGTAGAAGTGTAATCTTCTATTTAATATTTGATATTATTTTTTGTTACCTAACTTAGGGAACACAATTATGAAGTAATTCAAAGGAAATAATAGCTTTAGGGAGCATTAGAAATGACATTTAGGTATTGTGTTTGACATGGAAGCATCTGAGAATGTACCACCCCTTTATTTAAAGACAATGTGGCTAAAAATAAGCAGATCATTTTCTGATATGTATGAAGTTTATTGTTACTGAAGAACTGACTAATTTGCTTCCCATTTTTACCAAGAACGGGATAAATCATATGTAATCTATTCATTATTCTTCTAGAATTCTTTTTGGATTGTACCTATAAGAGGCAGGGGACTCTAAGAGCCTCATGATTCTATTTTTAAAAGACCAACAAAAAGAATGGAAAGATATGGGCATTTTCTCTTTTAAATGATACATAAAGAGGAAGATCTTGCTCAATTCTGGATTAAAGATGTTGGTCATTTTCTTCCCATCAGCTATGCTGCTGATGGGGAGCACTGACCTCATGCTTTCTCCTTCCCGTTATCTGCAGATAAGTCACTTTTCCATTTCTGAGGGAAGTGCTTAACATATTATATGAAACTACCACAAAGGCTTTGCCGTTACTGTTTTTAAAACAAAATTATTATATACATATTCATGTAGTTTTGGAACTCTTGTATTTCAGTTTTACTGCAATTTTTTAAAACTACAAAATACATGCTTATATGATAACATGTAAATTTTTTTAATGAGAGGAAGACTGATGGTCATGTTTTTATCATTCTTCTTGCCAATCTCTGCCATGAGTAGCTTTGACAAAAGTGTTTGGCAATTTATTTTTACTAGATATAAATTACACATTGTGCAAATATTTCTTTTGTAAATATGATTAAACCAGGATGATTTTTAAGAATATGTTGTGCACTAATAGGTTTGAATAATTTTCAGGACACTTAGGCAAACATGGTCACCTATCAGATTATAAGGCTCAAAGTGTTTTCAAATATATCTAAAAACTGTAGAATTAACTATTACAATGCAAACATTAATTCTAAATCCTCAAATTATTGCCTATTCAGATAATGTAGCCACATGAGTAAATCATGTGAAGTATTCTAACAAAGCATGTGTAACTATAAAAAGACACACTGAGTTGGATTTGTGGCAGCAAACCTTAGTGATAAAGAGCACAGAGTGCAAAGTCAGACTGTGAGACCTTGTGCTAGTTACTTTTCTAGTCTGTGTCTCAGTTTCCTCTTCTGTGAAAGGGGTATTAATAATAGTACTTACCATGTAGAGCTGTTGAGAGGATTGAATTAGTCCATTTAAAGTGCTTAGAGCAGGGCCTTACCCAGGTAAACTCTACAAAAGTGCTGGCTGTTGAATGATTATGTAAGTGAGAGCGATTGCAACAATAACTATGGAATGCCTGTACATTTCTGGGCACCAGGCCAGGCGCTTTATTTATTCAGATTCTCACAACAATCCTTCAAGACAAATAGTATGCACATTTTATAGATGAAACTAAAATTCATAGGTTAACTAATTTGGCAAGGTCATATTGCCAGCATCTACTATAGCCATGATTTAAGTTCTGGTCTGTTTGAGTTCAAAGCCTGACCCCTTTCTACTAAGTCATATTGTAGTTATAAGCTTTGTTATAATCATAAAATTATATGAGAATAGGAGGATACTTTTTCACGCACAGAATATACTGAATATTAAAGTAGCTACATCCTCTACAATTGAAAAAATAATTGCGGTGGCTGACGCCTGTAATCATAGCACTCTAGGAGCCCGAGGTGGGCGGATCACCTGAGATCAGGGGTTCGAGACCAGCCTGGCCAATGTAGTGAAACCCTGTCTATACTAAAAATACAAAAATTAGCTGGGTGTGGTGGCGCACGCCTGTAGTCCCAGCTACTCAGGAGGCTGAGGAAGGAGAATTGCTTGAACCCAGGAGGTGGAGGTTGCAGTGAGCTGAGATCACGCCACTGCACTCCAGCCTGGGTGACAGAGCTAGACTCCGTCTCAAAAAAAAAAATATGTATATATATATACACACACAAACAAATAGAATTTTTATATGAATAGAATCATATTTCATATTATATATTGCAGTTTTGCCACATCGGCATATATAAATAGACCTTATTTTTTTGTTGTTGAATAATATTTTTCTAGTTTTCATTACTGATAAAAAGTGCTGTGATGAACATGACACAGAAGTGCTGTAAGTTTAATATTGCGCTTGTTTTGAATTTAGCAACCTTCTGTTCTTTTTGTGTGTAACTGACTTCATTTATACTTCCTGGGCAAATGTCTCCATTATTATAGCAGATCACCACAAAGAGGTGCTTTTACTTCGATTTTGGGGCTCTTTTTTCCTCAGGCATCCCCCTTCTTTCGAAACAAATTCTGCCCGTTACCTCCTGTTTTGTGGTTCACAGACTCTCTTTCACCAGCAGAATTCTATGAGAAAAGACTCCCTGGTTTCTCACCTTTCTGCTACCTTTACACTTTATTCTTCCCTGCCTCCAATACCATGTCTGATTTTTGGCCCTCCTCTTCATCTATTCCTTAGGACAACTTAGTTACAGAGTAGGAATGAAAGCAGAACAGGTACAAGGAGTTTGGGGTAAGGATAAAGTCATGAATCGTCGTGAATTTAATGTGTTAAGGGAAGCAGTCATGATAACAGTAGTTGTTTTTTGTTGTTGTTGATTTTGTTGTAGTTTTGAGATGGGCTCTTGCTCTGTCACTCAGGCTCCAGTGCAGTGGCGTGATCACCACTCACTGCAGCCTGGACTTCCTGGGCTCAAGTGATCCTCCCTCCTCAGCCTCCTGAATGGCTGGGACTACAGGCATGTGCCACCATGCCTGGCTAATTTAAAATTTTTTTTTGTAGAGATGAGTTCTCACTATGTTGCCTAGGCTGGTCTTGAACTCCTGAGCTCAAGTGATCCTCCTGGCTTCGTTTCCCAAAGTGCTAGGATTACAAGTGTGAGCCACCATGCCTGGTCATAACAATAGTTTTTATCTGTTTTGTTAAAAATGTACAAATGTGGCCAGGCGTGGTGGCTCACGCCTGTAATCCTAGCACTTTGGGAGACCGAGGTGGGTGGATCACCTGAGGTCAGGAGTTCGAGACCAGCCTGGCCAACATGGTGAAACCCCCTGTCTACTAAAACTACAAAAACTAATGGCATGGTGGTGGCAGGCGCATGTAATCCCAGCTACTCAGGAGGCTGAGGCAGGAGAATTGCTTGAACCCAAAAGGCGGAGGTTGCGGTGAGTCAAGATCACGCCACTGCACTCCAACCTGGGGGACAAGAGCGAGGCTTCGTCTCAAAACAGAAAAAAAAAAATGTTCAAATGTTTACTTGAGACTGCTAGTCTTTAGCAGTCAGATTCTTCAAACAAAAACTTAGTTTCAAAGGAATGAAAATTGTCTGTGTAGTTTCCTATACCAAAAATTTGAGTTTAATAAAGAGGAAATATTACTTTACGTCTACCGTCAATAACAGCATAATAGAGTAATAGATACATCTTTAATTTGATTAAGTAGTATTCCTGATCTAATGATATGGGAAGGTCATTACCTATGTACATGGAATAATGTTTAGTTTTATATTACAAACCAGGCAAAATGAGTGCATATAATTAGAAAGTGAAGTTATATCATCACAAAATATCAAGAAGATGTTTCATCAAGACTAACACTATTAAATGAGGAAATGTTTATGGACATTCATAGTTTAATATATGAGTTCTGTGAGGGGAAATACATAAGGTGGACAATGTTATGTGTAAATAAATGCAACCATTAGAATAGAATATTAGAGCTATATAATTAGCTGAATGTGTAATATGCTAATACTGAATATTTAACTCATCTTAATTCTGTGTCGAAGTGGAGAAAATCAATTTAGAAAACAGAGTTTAATGGTCATTATACTCCCCTTTTTTGAAGACATATTTCTTCACTGAGCACTTTAGTTTCCCTGTGGAATGTTTGTGAACATTTAAAAGATTCAAACTGTGATTACTACATTAAAAACAAAGGTCTTTTAGGTGTAATTCCTTTGCAAGCAATTAGACTATATTAACAGAAGAACATGAGTTTTTAGTTTAACCTCTGGTACTTTTTGTGAACATTTATTAAAACACATAGGTATGTTATTAAGATACTATTTGCCATAGAACAAAATTCTAAGCTAGTCTTTACTGAATGTTATATTACAGGCTTTAGATGCTGAATTATCTCATTATAAGGGGCTTTACTTAAGGCAACATGACATTACAAATTCCAATAATAGTTCTATAGGAGACTTACAATAATAAATACATGCATATAAATATTCATGAATTATATGCCAATATACATGTATGTGCATTTATTTACAAGGATAACACGTCTGATATCCTTGTGGGTTGTTTGGAGCAGCACTATGTTAAGAAGTTAACATTATCAGTTAAGTCTTGGCCAGGGGCTGTTTTTGTTCCAGATTGTTGGATGGTCATAAGAGGGACAGGGAATGAATTGGTTCAGAATTATTGCTTCACCTGGTAAATTTTAAACTAATGCCCACTATTTCCCAGAAACTATGGGTAATAGGTATATGATTATTACAGGAAAATAAGTAAATGACTATTACAGGAAATTACTATTTAAATAGGTAAATGATTGTTACAGGAAAATTTTTTGTATACCCTAGTAATAATTTTTCAAAAGTTTTTGAACATTTATAATGTTCAAAACATATATATGTATTTTTGTTCCAAACTTTTGATCGTGGTACTGTTGACATATTTGTATAACACCAATAAGTGAACAAAAATCCTTTTCAGGTTGAGCATTCATTCATTCAACCATATTTTAAAAACACCTTTATTTATATGTAGTCAAATTAATCTTTTTCTTTATAATTTTCTCCATTACTTTTGGAGAAAAGCCTTTTTCTCACAGAGTTCAGATAATTATTCTTATGTATTATCTCTAAAGTTTTCATTTTTGACTTTTTGCATTTAACTCTAATCATCTGGAATGTTTTGAAATATGTGCAAAATTGGGTACTAATACATCCCTAATATTATTATAAAAAAGTAGAGCTGTATATACAGTATTTGGCACTGAGCACTCTGCTAGGCTCATAACTGGTGCTCAACACATTTTCTGAATCCACCCATCTACTTTCCCAAATCCAACCAGGGAATATACTCAGTCAGTGTCCCAGAAAATAAACATCTGACCTAAGAAGGGCCCAGTTCTTGATGCCAAGGCACTCGCCAAAAAGAAAAGGAGGAGATGCAAACAAATGACTCTAATATAACTTTGGTGAGACAAGAGGACAGAGAAACCTTCAAAGGGGGCATTCAACAATGCTACCTGAGATATGAGTTGAAGTTTATTAAATGAGTGGAAGAGAAATGACTCTCCAGGAAGAATGTACCTAAAAGAGTCTGGTGTGTTCAGGGGCTTCTCAGAAGCACAGCAGGATGCTGACATGGCTGACAGGAGGTGGAGGATGGAAAGAAGGCCTAGGCCAGATAATGAAAGAAGTGGCAAGCCGTGCTGAGGATTTTGGTCTAGAATTTCTTGTATATACTAGGATGCTAGTAGCATAGTTCATTCAGACTTTTTGATTCTTACATTTCTAGTACAATTTTTAGAGTGGGTATAAAATATCTTTCATGCAGTTTTGTGTCTGAATCATTAACAGTTCATAATACTCTTGGTTAGTCTGAAATTACTAGAGTACTTAATTTATAGTAATGCTTAGATCATGTGGGTTGAAAAAATTTGCTTGCCTTCCCCCATTGATATTTTTACTTATGTATGGGTCTATTTACTTAAATATTTGGGAGCATACTTTTGTAGCATACTCATGGAGTAGAAATATGGTTTTGCAACATGGGACTATGCCATATAACTTGTTTTTGCTCTGAAGCAGAAAACTATAATGAACTGTACCAAGACCATTTTACTTTATTCACAAGTTTTACAAACATACTTGACACCATTAATATTTATTAAGCATGCTTGGCAAACCACGAACTTTGTCAACAATCTAAACTGAAGGCTTGCTAAGTATTACTTGGGCATATCTGAATAATGGGACTTCATCTAATTTGTTCTCATTAACAGATGGAATGAGGAAGTTTTCACCTTTAATATGTATCTACTATAAACAAAGAGTATGTTTATATATACATAGTCTCTGAAGATTGTCTACTTATACATTTGCCTCAAGATAACACATGATTGACTGTTCCAGTTGAATCTTATTAGAGAATGAATCATTATATTTGCATGGGTTGTTTTGTTTTTGGGCTCTGAGAATTTTCCTGTGAAAAAAGCACTGATGTTCAAGTAGGCATGGCTGATACACTGTGTTAGAATGGGGGAAATGGGGAAGTTGAATGTTAAAGAGGGACTCCCAGAAGGCTGGGAGAAAATACAAGTTAAGGGAAGAAAGTTTGGAAGAAGGAGCTGCATTGAAACAGAGGGGTGGCAGAGGAGAGTGGTTCTATGGATAAAGTCATTGCTGTTATTTAAACTTACTTCAACCCAGCTATTCCGCTCCTTAAGAGAAAGTCTATGAGCATGTAAAATTAAATGATACTACAGCCTAGTATCTCCTTATGGGCACCTCTAAAAGATCCTGACATAATGGAGAGGAAGCCATTTTGTTTCTCATTTCTTGGTAGAATGATGGCCAGCTCTTGAGCAGAGTAGTGGGCTAGCATTAATGATATGGGTAGCTGCCTGAACACTGGGCAAGATTTCTGCTCATTTATGGGCCTAGGAAGGGAGTAGACTGTATGGAGTGGTTCTGGAACCTTGTAGCAGAAATGGTATATTCAGATGCTAGAATGTGGCCTGGAAGTGGTGGGTCACTGGAGTGGTACAAATGGAACCTCAGATGTTTGTGAATGTTGGTCTACAATAACAAATGATGACAAAGCTGCAAATTGAACTTGCCTGATTTGTGACTGAGGTATTGGGAACTGATTCTGTTGGGAATTCTGAAATAATTGAGAACTGAGATGAGAAATATATTCAAACTGTGAAAACTGGTGTGGCATATTGATATTATCCCATTAGTAACCCTGTGCTGAAGAGGGCTTGGAATACTTGGGTCACACACTGATTTGACCATTATCTTTACAAACGTCAGTTGGAGTTTTCAGTCAATGGCTAGGCCAGACATAAATAACTGTATAAATCAGGAAGGTTTATTTATTGCAAAAAGTGCTTTTCAACCATGTTTACATCATAGAATGCATAGAAGATGATGTATTTGTTTGGTATCCAGGAGTAAAATGGAGGAGGTTTGGAAGAGCATTTCCATGAGGCTTAGTTAAGAAAAAATTGTTTTCTTTATGTTATATAACAATGAAGGGAGAACTAAATAAAAAAAATTAGGACAAAATTGCATGTATGTCTAACTTTCAAATAAATGTTATTGAACATTTTAATAAACTTGACTTGCTTTAATGAACTCATAGTTTCTGATCAAAACATTTTAATGATAATTTCTTTAATACTTGATACTATAAATAAGAAACTTTTAAAACTATTTTTTTCAACAATCCAAATTTTTCAACTGTTACAAGTGAGAATTTGAAGAATTCTACAGCTCTTCTTTTCTTTCAGTGTCAAATGTAATGCTAAAATTTCTTGTGAATTCAAATGCACTTCAATTCCACCTGCACTTTTTTATATCAAAGATTTCAAAAGAACAGTCAAACTCTAATTGCAGAATATACATGCATTTTTACTCCATAGTCAGTTTGAATGCCCCTAGGTGGCCACAAAGTCATAAACTCACAAAAGTATTGGATATATGGAAACACAGAAATTTGGAGTCAGATTTAAAGCTGCGTCGTTCAGTAGTTCTCCCAGCCCACCTCTGAAAATTGTTCCCTGAGCTGTGTTTCTTCACTTCTGGAGTGTGAACTCTTCCATCAGCTTCACAGGCCTCTTGAGCAAGGCTGGTGGTAATTTGGTCTGCCCCAGGCTGCTAAAGCAGATATCCAGGTAATAGATCACCTCCCTAGGGAAACTCATGATGCCACAGAGGAGCAATAAGTGTAGCACATGTCATTTCTTGTGCACCCATCTGAGGGTATCATAGGGTGAGCCTAACCCTAACCTCTAACTTTTCTCCAAGAAGTCCTGGAAAATGCTTATTGAGGTCAAAGCCATCCAATGGGGAACTCCAACCCCAAGGCCCAAGTGGATCAGGCCTTCTGCATACACTTTTAAGCCACAGAATGCATATCAGTGTTCTGCAGTTCAACAGGTGGGAAACTAATCTAAATCCTACATGGGAGAGTAACACAACAGAAATATTAGCAGTTTTCTCCAGTGATAGATTAAGATGTTTCTGTGTCTCCCCAAAATACTTCACACATTTGCAGATGATAGGTCTGGATTAAGAAGAGTCAGTTTAGAGCTTGAAGAAGTGCAAATGCTCCCCTTATGGCCTGACCTTAAATACAAAAGGCTAAAGTGTTCCAAAAGACAACTTTGCCAGAACATGGGCCCCAGCACATTAATCTCAGAATTACAGGCCAGACACCATGGCTCACACCTGTAACCTCAGCATTTTGGGAGGCAATGTCTCTCAAAAAAAAAAAATCTCAAAATTACATACATAATATGTGGCATACAGTGTACTTGGCCCTGAATAAACTCCTTGGCCATTGTTCTCAGCCTCCTAGTGGGACACAGATTGGATCAAATACAATTAATTCAGTGGAATTTGAGCAAGTGGCAGCAAGATTTCTGGGATTCCTTTTCATATGTTGTGAGACAAGCCAAAGGCCAATTGTGTACAACACATGATCTGTACAATTTCTGGAAAACAGTTCAAAATATAGCTGGAACTGGCTATCATAAAGATTATTGTACGCAGTATTTGGGAGAATTTTCTGGTCTCTTAAATATCCTGTATTTTTCCTCTTTTGTGGACACAATGAGAAAAGGGGGAAATGCGAAGATTGAGATATCTTTTTACTTAACGTTTCAATGCGTAGATTTAATTAAGTTTGATTATTAAAATGTAGACAATATCAAGATGAATTTAGAAGCAGTGGATTATGTTAAATGTGCATTAGTCTTTCCATAGAAATGGATACTCACAGGACATTGAGGAAACTCATTTCCTGAGGAGACAAAAAATGGTTTGTCAAATGTCTTATAAATGTTGGTGTCTCAAATCTGAATGCAGCCAGGAGTTGCTTCTGGCAACTGCAAGATTTTAACATCACTTGTCTGTAAAGTTGGCTTATGCCCTGGAGCCAAGGCACATTCTGCTTCCTTGCTCCTCTGAACTTTCCAGGTTAATTAAAAACTATAATTATCACTGTTTCAGCAGCTTGCATGCTATAAAATGAGCTATAACAAGTGATTAATTGAAAAGTAGAGGGTTATTTCAGAAGTCTTAAGTCAAGAGGGAATGTACCTCCTTCACTACCAAAACAGTACAAAAATTAGTTCACACGGGGCAAGCGTAAGTGGGCCCACAGATGTCTGCCAGTCCCCTTGTCTTGGAAAACTTGAGATCCATCCTTCTTCAGACCAATTCCCTATTCTGATTCTGACCTCACGAGCATCAGCCATAAAGGAATCACTAAAGGGTGCCTGCGATTCTGCAAATAGAGTATAGAGTCCTGTAGTGCCCCTAAAGTAGAAGGATCAAAGTGTGGGCCCCTACTCACATCATTCCCTTGCCCTTCTCCCCATTGCAACAGCAGGTAAATCCTACATTCTGAGAATGTGCTGGGTTTTTGCTCTTAATTGGCAAGTGGTTGTTATTTTTGAGACTTATTTAATGTTCCCAGGGTTTGTGAACTGTCCTTTTTGCTTGGTGGGGGACAATTCCAATGTGCATCTTTTTCCAATCAAACGAAACCTAAATGATTTGTGTTAGTATACTCTTACAAACATCTGCCTTTCAAATAAAAGTTCCTAAGGACAATGACTTCTCCTTTGATAGAGTAAACTCAATTCTAAGGGCTTTTCATCATTCTGATTTCAAATCAAATGTTTCTTTTCTGTGAACTCTTTCATAACTCTCCAGATAAAGATAATTGTCCTTGCCTCTGTACTCCAAATCTTGTCCCTTTGTATATATTTCTGTAATAATGTTTACCATACTAAACTGCAGTGATTTGTTTATATTCTTTTTTGTTTCATTAGGCTGTGAACTCCTAATGGGCAGTACCTTGTTTTTCTTTGTATTTTCAGGGTCTAGCACTAGAGAGGAATAATAAGGACTTAATTAGTGAAAGAATGAATAACCAATCTGTAATGAATCTTAACCAAAGAATTTTAGTTTCTTAGGTGCTAAGTAACTACTTTAAAGTTACCAAGGCATGAAGTGTAAGAACATTGCTCTATCAATGTATCAGTATTTTGTTTATAGATTATAAATTTATATGCCAAGGAAGATATTAGATCCTAAAGTTCCTCTCCTACTTTCTATTCGAAATACTGGAATTCTTATATCTTATTTTAATGATTATATTAGATTTAGGACCTTGAATGATTTTCTGATATGCAAAGTAATGCCTGAATATACTGTCATCATCGGACTTACATAGGAGATAATGTAGGGCTTAGCACTTGGGGTTCGATGGATTATAATTCTAATATCAAATATATTAAAAGTGGACTACTAATCTCTACTTTATATAATTTGGTAAAAATTACTTTCTTAAGGAGATACTGCAAATCAGAATTTAAAAATCAATTTTTAAGAGTTTATTCTGAACTCCTTCTGAAAAACTAAGCCATAAGCTATATTATTTTTTAATAATTCTAAGGAATTACTCAGATTACAGATAAAAAATAAAATAATAGTTTGAGTTTTTTCCTTCCCCTTTCTCTTATACTTGTTTTTAAGTAAGATCTCTCACAGATATCTAAATTTTTTTTGAGAGAATTGCCAAATAATGGGGGATTGATCACCTATCATAGGTATGATATAGGCTGAAGCTTTGTATTTCTTTAGGCAAAAATATTATTCCTAAAGTGCTCATGCTTCCCTTTTCCTGACATTATCTGTTTACAAATATGATTTTATTTTCCATTTGGTTGGATCATAGTTGAATCATATATTCAGATTGAAGATTATAGAATGAAATCAAAAGCATCTGCAAATACAAGCAAGACAATGAATAATTAACAAAAGGAGAAACCTTGATCTTCAAAGTGCTTTCAAGTAGAGATTTAAAAATAAGGTTTTACTTATAGAAAGATGAAGCTGAACTACTACTGTGGAATCTCTTTATTTCAAAACCTCAAATTCAGGTTATTTTTGGAAAATCTTTTTTTTTTTTTTTTTACTTTTTTGCCATTATTGAAATTGAATTATTGTGGTTTAAATTCTTATGGTGATTTATTCTTGGGTTCCAGATGGTGATAAGGAGTTCCAGGCCTATATACTCCTAGGTTCAAGTTCAGCTGGAAGAATCACATGCCTGTCTTTTGGTATACATAGCAAAATCCACAGACTAGATCCCATTGGCACTGAAAAAGTCATGTTCCATTTCTGAGCCAGCCCTAAGACTAAAGGAATGAGCTCCTTTGACTACTAAGATTAGAGTTATATGCATCATCCCTGGAATTAGTAGTAAATTCACTTCTACAAGAAGCATATAGATTCAAGCAGAGCAGTGCATGATCCCTCATACAAAGATCAGGATTGTATAATGTCCTGGGATTACCAGAAGGTGAATGAGACATTACATAGAAAATACAATAGATTCCCACTACAAAGAGATTACAGGTCTGCCTTGCTTTATTGTACTTCCTAGATTTTTTTTAACTGATCAAAGAAAGGTTTGTGGAACCCTGTGTCAAACAAGACTGTTGGTGCCTTGTTTCCAACAGCATGTACTTACTTCATGTTTTTGTGTTATATTTTGGTAATTCTTGCAATATTTCTAACTATTATTATTATATCTGTTATGATGATCTGTGACCAGTGATTTTTGATGTTGCTATGTAATTATTTTGGAGCACCACAAGCTGCACCCATATACGATGGCAAACTTAATTGATAAATACTGTATGTGTTTTGACTGCTCTACTCACCAGCCATTCCCATCTCTCTCCTTCTCTTCAGCCCCCCCATTTCCCTACATACAACAATATTGAAATTAGGCCTATTAATAGCCCTACAATGGCCTATAAGTGTTCAAGTGAAAGGAAGAGTCACATATCTCTGACTTTAAATCAAGATCTAGAAATGATTAAGCTTAGTGAGGAAGGCATGTCAAAAGCCGAGACAGGCTGAAAGCTAGGTGTCTTGTGCCAAACAGCCAAGTTGTGAATGCAAAGGATAAGTTCTTGAAGGAAATGAAAAGTTCTACTCCAGTGAACTCATGAATGATAAGAAAATGAAGCAGCCTTACTGCTGATATGGAGAAAGTTTTAGTGGTCTGAATGGAAGATCAAACCAGCCACACTATTCCCTTAAAGCAAAAGCTAATCCAGAGCAGGGCCCTAAATCTCTTCAATTCTATGAGAGCTGAGAGAGGTGAGAGAGCTACAGAAGAAAAGTTGGAAACTAGCAGAGTTGGTTCATGAGGTTAAAGGAAAGAAGCCATCTCTATAACGTAAAAGTGCAAGATGAAGCAGCAAGTGCTAATGGAGAAGCTTTAGCATTGTCCAGAATATTTAGTTAAAATCATTGGTGAAGGTGGCTACATTAAACAACAGCTTTCAATGTAGATGAAATAGCAATGAGCCTTCTACTGGAAGAAGATGCCATCTATGACCTTCATAGCTGGAGAAAAGGTAATGACTGGCATCACATCTTTGAAGGACAGGCTTACTCTTATTAAGGGCTAGTGCAGCTGGTAGCGTTAAGTTGAATTTAATGCTCATTTACCATTCAAAAAATTCTAGGGCCCTTAAAAATTATGCTAAATCTACTCTGCTTTTGCTCTATAAATGGAACAACGAAGCCTGGATTGCAGCACATTATTTATAGCATGGGTTACTGAACATTTTAAACCTACTATTGAGAGGTACTGCTCAGAAAAGAAAAGATGCCTTTCAAAATATTACTACTCATTGGCAATGCACCTAGCCACCCAAGAGCTCTGATGGAGATCTGCAAAGGGATTAATGATGTTTTCATGCTTGCTAAAACAACATTCTGTAGCCCATGGATCAAAGAGTAGTTTCAACTTTCACATTTTATTATTTAATAAATACATTTAAAAAAACTTTTAAGTTCAGGGGTACATGAACTTAAAATGTTACATGGGTAAAGTTGTGTCGTGGGGGTTTGTTTTACAGATTATTTTGTCACCCAGGTGTTAAGCCTAGTACTCATTAGTTATGTTTCCTGCTCTTGTCCCTCCTTTCACCCTCCACCCTCCAGTAGGCCACCATGTCTGTTGTTTCCCTATATGTGTGCATGTGTTCTCATTTTTTAGCTCCCAACTATAAGTGAGAACGTGCAATATTTGGTTTTCTGTTCCTGCCTTAGTTTGCTAAGGATAACGGCCTCCAGCTCCATCCATGTTCCTGCAAAGGACATGACATAATTCTTTTATATAGCTGCATAGTATTCCGTGGTGTATATGTACTATATTTTCTTTATCCAGTCTACCATTGATGGGCATTTAGGTTGATTCCATGTTTTTGCTATTGTGAATAATGCTGCAATGAATGTATGTGTGCATGTGTCTTTATGATAGAATGATTTATACTCCTTTGGGTATATACCCAGTAATGAGATTGCTGAGTTGAACAGTATTTCTGTTTTTAGGTCTTTGAGGAATCGCCACACTGTTTTCCACAAAGGTCAAACTAATTTACACTCCCACCAACAATGTGTAAGTGTTCCTTTTTCTCTGCACCCTTACCAGCATCTGTTTTGTTTTGTTTTGTTTTGTTTAACTTTTTAATAGCTATTCTGACTGGTGTGAGATTGGTATCTCATTGTGGTTTTGATTTTCATTTCTCTTATGATCAGTGTTGAATTTTTTTTTTTTTTTTTTTGAGATGGAGTCTCGCTCTGTCCCCCAGGCTGGAGTGCAGTGGCGTAATCTTGGCTCACTGCAAGTTCTGCCTCCTGGTTTCACGCCATTCTCCTGCCTCAGCCTCCCCTCCCGAGTAGCTGGGACTACAGGTGCCCACCACCATGCCCAGCTAATTTTTTGTGTTTTTAGTAGAGACGGGGTTTCACCGTGTTAGCCAGGATGGTCTTGATCTCCTGACCTCGTGATCCACCCCCCTCGGCCTCCCAAAATGCTGGGATTACAAGCATGAGCCACCGCGCCCAGCGAATATTGAACTTTTTCTCATATGCTCGTTGGCTGCATGTATGTCTTCTTTTGAAAAGTGTCTATTCATTCCTTTGCCCACTTTTTAATGGGATTTTTTTTTCTTGTAAATTTGTGTAAGTTCCTTATAGATTCTGGATATTAAACCTTTGTCACATGCATAGTTTGCAAAAATTCTATGCCATTCTGCAGGTTGTCTCTTTACTCTGTTGATAGTTTCTTGCATTTCTCTTATGATCAGTGATGTTGAACTATTTTTCATATGCTCGTTGGCTGCATGTATGTCTTCTTTTGAAAAGTGTCTGTTCATTCCTTTGCCCACTCTTTTATTATTATTATAATTTATAAATTCTGGGGTACATAGGCAGAACGTGCAGTTTTGTTACATAGGTATACATGTGCCATGGTGGTTTGCTGCACCCATCAACCCGTCACCTACATTAGGTATTTCTCCTAATGACATCCCTCCCCTAGCCCCCAATTGCCCGACAGGCCCTGGTGTGTGATGTTCCCTTCCCTGTGTCCATGTGTTCTCCTTGTTCAACTCCCACTTATGAGTGAGAATATGTGGTGTTTGGTTTTCTGTTCTTGTGATAGTTTGCTGAGAATGATGGTTTCCAGCTTCATCCATGTCCCTGCAAAGGACATGAACTTATCCTTTTTATGGCTGCATAGTAGTCCATGGTGGATATGTGCCACATTTTTTAAATCCAGTCTATCATTGATGGACATTTGGGTTGGATCTGAGTCTTTGCTATTGTGAATAGTCCTTTGCCCATTTTTTAATGGTATTTTTTTTTCTTGTAAATTTGTATAAGTTCCTTATAGATTCTGGATATTAGACCTTTGTCACATGCATAGTTTGCGAAAATTCTATACCATTCTTCAGGTTGTCTCTTTACTCTGTTGATAGTTTCTTTTGCTGTGCAGACGCTCTTTAGTTTAATTAGCACCCATTTGTCAATTTTTGCTTTTGTTGCAATTGTGTTTGGCATCTTTGTCATGAAATCTTTGCCTGTTCCTATGTCCAGAATGGTATTGCTTAGGTTGTCTTTCAGGGTTTTTATAGTTTTGGGTTTTACATTTAAGTCTTTGATCCATCGTGAGTTGATTTTTGTATATGGTGTAAGGAAGGGGTTCAGTTTCAGTCTTCTGCATATGGCTAGCCAGTTATCCTAGCACCACTTACTGAATACGGAGTCCTTTCCCATGGCTTGTTTTTTTCAGCTTTGTTGAAGATCAGATCGTTGTAGGTGTGTCGCCTCATTTTGGTGCTCTCTATTCTGTTCCATTGGTCTATGTGTCTGTTTTTATACCAGTACCATGCTATTTTGGTCACTGTAGCCCTGTAGTATAGTTTGAAGTTGGGTAGCATGATGCCTCCAGCTTTGTTGTTTTTGCTTAGGATTACCTTAGCTATTTGGGCTCTTTTTTGGTTCCATGTGAATTTTGAAATAGTTTTAGTTCTGTGAAGAATGCCATTGGTAGTTTGATAGAAATAGCATTGAACTTATAAATTGCTTTGGGCAATATGGCCCAAATTTTAACAATATTGATTCTTCCTATTTATAAACATAGAATTTATAATATTTCTATTTGTGTTATCTCTGATTTATTTGAGCAGTGTTTTGTAGTTCTTATTGTAGAGAACTTTCACCTCCCTGGTTAGCTGTATTCCTAGGTATTTTATTCTTTTTGTGGCAATTGTGAATGGGATCATGCTCCTGATTTGGCTCTTGGCCTGATGACTGTTGGTGTATAGGAATGCTGCTGATTTTTGTTCGTTGCTTTTGTATTCTGAGACTTTGCTGAAGTTGTTTATTCGTGGAAGGAGCTTTTGGGCTGGGGCTATAGCTGCCATAGATAGTGATTCCTCTGATGGATTTGGTCACAGTAAATTGAAAACATTGTGGAGAGGATTCATCATTCTAGATATCATGAAGAACATTTGTGATTCATGTAAGGCGGCCAAAATATCAACATTACAGAAGTTTGGAATAAGTTGATTCTAACTCTCTTGGATGACTTTGTGGGATTTAAGATTTTAGTAAAAAAAGTAACTGCAAATATGGTGGAAATAGCAAGAGAACTGGAACTGCAAGTGGAACCTGAAGATGGCACTGAATTGCTGCCAATCTCGTGATCAGACTTGAATGGATGAAGAGTTGCTTCTTTTTTTTATTATTATTATACTTTAAGTTTTAGGGTACATGTGCACAATGTGCAGGTTAGTTACATATGTATACATGTGCCATGCTGGTACGCTGCACCCACTAACTCGTCATCTAGCATTAGGTATATCTCCCAATGCTATCCCTCCCCCCTGCCCCCACCCCATAACAGTCCCCAGAGTGTGATGTTCCCCTTCCTGTGTCCATATGTTCTCATTGTTCAATTCCCACCTATGAGTGAGAACATGCGGTGTTTGGTTTTTTGTTCTTGCGATAGTTTACTGAGAATGATGATTTCCAGTTTCATCCATGTCCCTACAAAGGACATGAACTCATCATTTTTTATGGCTGCATAGTATTCCATGGTGTATATGTGCCACATTTTCTTAATCCAGTCTATCATTGTTGGACATTTGGGTTGGTTCCAAGTCTTTGCTATTGTGAATAGTGCCGCAATAAACATACGTGTGCATGTGTCTTTATAGCAGCATGATTTATAGTCCTTTGGGTATATAGCCAGTAATGGGATTGCTGGGTCAAATGGTATTTCTAGTTTTAGATCCCTGAGGAATCGCCACACTGACTTCCACAAAGGTTGAAATAGTTTACAGTCCCACCAACAGTGTAAAAGTGTTCCTATTTCTCCACATCCTCTCCAGCACCTGTTGTTTCCTGACTTTTTAATGATTGCCATTCTAACTGGTGTGAGATGATATCTCATTGTGGTTTTGATTTGCATTTCTCTGATGGCCAGTGATGGTGAGCATTTTTTCATGTGTTTTTTGGCTGCATAAATATCCTCTTTTGAGAAGTGTCTGTTCATGTCCTTCATCCACTTTTTTGATGGGGTTGTTTGTTTTTTTCTTGTAAATTTGTTTGAGTTCATTGTAGATTCTGGATATTAGCCCTTTGTCAGATGAGTAGGTTGCAAAAATTTTCTCCCATTTTGTGGGTTGCCTGTTTACTCTGATGGTAGTTTCTTTTGCTGTGCAGAAGCTCTTTAGTTTAATTAGATCCCATTTGTCAATTTTGGCTTTTGTTGCCATTGCTTTTGGTGTTTTAGACATGAAGTCCTTGCCCATGCCTATGTCCTGAATGGTAATGCCTAGGTTTTCTTCTAGGGTTTTTATGGTTTTAGGTCTAACATTTAAGTCGTTAATCCATCTTGAATTAATTTTTGTATAAGGTGTAAGGAAGGGATCCAGTTTCAGCTTTTTACATATGGCTGGCCAGTTTTCCCAGCACCATTTATTAAATAGGGAATCCTTTCCCCATTGCTTGTTTTTCTCAGGTTTGTCAAAGATCAGATAGTTGTAGATATGCGGCATTATTTCTGAGGGCTCTGTTCTGTTCCATTGATCTATATCTCTGTTTTGGTACCAGTACCATGCATTTTTGGTTATTGTAGGCTTGTAGTATAGTTTGAAGTCAGGTAGCGTGATGCCTCCAGCTTTGTTCTTTTGGCTTAGGATTGACTTGGTGATGTGGGCTCTTTTTTGGTTCCATATGTACTTTAAAGTAGTTTTTTCCAATTCTGTGAAGAAAGTCATTGGTAGCTTGATGGGGATGGCATTGAATCTATAAATTACCTTGGGCAGTATGGCCATTTTCACGATATTGATTCTTCCTACCCATGAACATGGAATGTTCTTCCATTTGTTTGTATCCTCTTTTATTTCATTGAGCAGTGGTTTTTAATTCTCCTTGAAGAGGTCCTTCACATCCCTTGTAAGGTGGATTCCTAGGTATTTTATTCTCTTTGAAGCAATTGTGAGTGGGAGTTCACTCATGATTTGGCTCTCCGTTTGTCTGTTGTTGGTGTATAAGAATGCTTGTGATTTTTGTACATTGATTTTGTATCCTGAGACTTTGCTGAAGTTGCTTATCAGCTTAAGGAGATTTTGGGCTGAGACAATGGGGTTTTCTAGATATACAATCATGTCGTCTGCAACCAGGGACAATTTGACTTCCTCTTTTCCTAATTGAATACCGTTTATTTCCTTCTCCTGCTTAATTGCCCTGGCCAGAACTTCCAACACTATGTTGAATAGGAGTGGTGAGAGAGGGCATCCCTGTCTTGTGCCAGTTTTCAAAGGGTATGCTTCCAGTTTTTGCCCATTCAGTATGATACTGGCTGTGGGTTTGTCTTATTATTTCGAGATACGTCCCATCAATACCTAATTTATTGAAAGTTTTTAGCATGAAGGGCTGTTGAATTTTGTCAAAGGCCTTTTCTGCATCTATTGAGATAATCATGTGGTTTTTGTCTTTGGTTCTGTTTGTATGCTGGATTACATTTATTGATTTGCGTATACTGAACCAGCCTTGCATCCCAGGGATGAAGCCCACTTGATCATGGTGGATAAGCTTTTTGATGTGCTGCTGGATTTGGTTTGCCAGTATTTTATTGAGGACTTTTGCATCAATGTTCATCAAGGATATTGGTCTAAAATTCTCTTTTTTGGTTGTGTCTCCGCCCGGCTTTGGTATCAGGATGATGCTGGTCTCATAAAATGAGTTAGGGAGGATTCCCTCTTTTTCTATTGATTGGAATAGTTTCAGAAGGAATGGTACCAGTTCCTCCTTGTACCTCTGGTAGAATTCGGCTGTGAATCCATCTGGTCCTGGACTCTTTTTGGTTGGTAAGCTATTGATTATTGCCACAATTTCAGCTCCTGTTATTGGTCTATTCAGAGATTCAGCTTCTTCGTGGTTTAGTCTTGGGAGAGTGTATGTGTCGAGGAATTTATCCATTTCTTCTAGATTTTCTAGTTTATTTGCGTAGAGGTGTTTGTAGTAATCTCTGATGGTAGTTTGTATTTCTGTGGGATTGGTGATGATATCCCCTTTATCATTTTTTATTGTGTCTATTTGATTCTTCTCTCTTTTTTTCTTTATTAGTCTTGCTAGCAGTCTATCAATTTTGTTGATCCTTTCAAAAGACCAGCTCCTGGATTCATTAATTTTTTGAAGGGTTTTTTGTGTCTCTATTTCCTTCAGTTCTGCTCTGATTTTAGTTATTTCTTGCCTTCTGCTAGCTTTTGAATGTGTTTGCTCTTGCTTTTCTGGTTCTTTTAATTGTGATGTTAGGGTGTCAATTTTGGATCTTTCCTGCCTTCTCTTGTGGGCATTTTGTGCTATAAATTTCCCTCTGCACACTGCTTTGAATGTGTCCCAGAGATTCTGGTATGTTGTGTCTTTGTTCTCATTGGTTTCAAAGAACATCTTTATTTCTGCCTTCATTTCATTGTGTACCCAGTAGTCATTCAGGAGCAGGTTGTTCAGTTGCCATGTAGTTGAGCGGTTTTAAGTGAGTTTCTTAATCCTGAGTTCTAGTTTGATTGCACTGTGGTCTGAGAGACAGTTTGTTATAATTTCTGTTCTTTTACATTTGCTGAGGAGAGCTTTAGTTCCAACTATGTGGTTAATTTTGGAATAGGTGTGGTGTGGTGTGGTGCTGAAAAAAATGTATGTTCTGTTGATTAGGGGTGGAGAGTTCTGTAGATGTCTATTAGGTCTGCTTGGTGCAGAGCTGAGTTCAATTCCTGGGTATCCTTGTTAACTTTCTGTCTCATTGATCTGTCTAATGTTGACAGTGGGGTGTTAAAGTCTCCCATTATTAATGTGTGGGAGTCTAAGTCTCTTTGTAGGTCACTCAGGACTTGCTTTATGAATCTGGGTGCTCCTGTATTGGGCACATATATATTTAAGATAGTTAGCTCTTCTTGTTGAATTGATCCCTTTACCATTATGTAATGGCCTTGTCTCTTTTGATTTTTGTTGGTTTAAAGTCTATTTTATCAGAGACTAGGATTGCAACCCCTGCCTTTTTTTGTTTTCCATTTGCTTGGTAGATCTTCCTCCATCCTTTTATTTTGAGCCTATGTGTGTCTCTGCACGTGATATGGGTTTCCTGAATACAGCACACTGATGGGTCTTGACTCTTTATCCAATTTGCCAGTCTGTGTCTTTTAATTGGAGCATTTAGTCCATTTACATTTAAAGTTAATATTGTTATGTGTGAATTTGATCCTGTCATTATGAAGTTAGCTGGTTATTTTGCTCGTTAGTTGATGCAGTTTCTTCCTAGCCTCAATGGTCTTTACATTTTGGCATGATTTTGCAGCGGCTGGTACCGGTTGTTCCTTTCCATGTTTAGTGCTTCCTTCAGGAGCTCTTTTAGGGCAGGCCTGCTGGTGAGAAAATCTCTCAGCATTTGCTTGTCTGTAAAGTATTTTATTTATCTTTCACTTATGAAGCTTACTTTGGCTGGATATGAAATTCTAGGTTGAAAATTCTTTTCTTTAAGAATGTTGAATTTGGCCCCCACTCTCTTCTGGATTGTAGAGTTTCTGCCGAGAGATCTGCTTGTTAGTCTGATGGGCTTCCCTTTGAGGGTAACCCGACCTTTCTCTCTGGCTGCCCTTAACATTTTTTCCTTCATTTCAACTTTGGTGAATCTGACAATTATGTGTCTTGGAGTTGCTCTTCTCGAGGAGTATCTTTGTGGCGTTCTCTGCATTTCCTGAATCTGAATGTTGGCCTGCCTTGCTAGATTGGGGAAGTTCTTCCGGATAATATCTTGCAGAGTGTTTTCCAATTTGGTTCCATTCTCCCCGTCACTTTCAGGTACACCAATCAGACATAGATTTGGTCTTTTCACATAGTCCCATATTTCTTGGAGGCTTTGTTCATTTCTTTTTATTCTTTTTTCTCTAAACTTCCCTTCTCGCTTCATTTCATTCATTTGATCTTCAATCACTGATACCCTTTCTTCCATTTGATCGCATCGGCTCCTGAGGCTTCTGCATTCTTCACATAGTTCTCGAGCCTTGGCTTTCAGCTCCATCAGCTCCTTTAAGCACATCTCTGTATTGGTTATTCTAGTTATACATTTGTCTAAATTTTTTTCAAAGTTTTTAACTTCTTTGCCTTTGGTTTGAATTTCCTCCTGTAGCTCGTAGTTTGATCGTCTGAAGCCTTCTTCTCTCAACTCGTCAAAGTCATTCTCCGTCCAGCTTTGTTCCATTGCTGGTGAGGAACTGCATTCCTTTGGAGGAGGAGAGGTGCTCTGCTTTTTAGAGTTTCCATTTTTTCTGCTCTGTTTTTTCCCCATCTTTGTGGTTTTATCTACTTTTGGTCTTTGATGATGGTGATGTTTTATCTACTTTTGGTCTTTGATGATGGGTTTTTGGTGTGGATATCCTTTCTGTTTGTTAGTTTTCCTTCTAACAGACAGGACCCTCAGCTGCAGGTCTGTTGGAGTTTGCTAGAGGTCCATTCCAGACCCTGTTTTCCTGGGTATCGGCAGCGGTGTCTTCAGAACAGTGGTTTTTCGTGAACCGCGAATGCTGCTGTCTGATCGTTCCTCTGGAAGTTTTGTCTCAGAGGAGTACCTGGCCTTGTGAAGTGTCAGTTTGCCCCTACTAGGGGGTGCCTCCGAGTTAGGCTGCTCAGGGGTCAGGGGTCAGGGACCCACTTGAGGAGGCAGTCTGCCCGTTCTCAGATCTCCAGCTGCGTGCTGGGAGAACCACTGCTCTCTTCAAAGGTGTCAGACAGGGACATTTAAGTCTGCAGAGGTTACTGCTGTCTTTTTGTTTGTCTGTGCCCTGCCCCCAGAGGTGGAGCCTACAGAGGCAGGCAGGCCTCCTTGAGCTGTGGTGGGCTCCACCCAGTTCGTGCTTCCTGGCTGCTTTGTTTACCTAAGCAAGCCTGGGCAATGGCGGGCACCCCTCCCCCAGCCTGGCTGCCGCCTTGCAGTTTGATTTCAGACTGCTGTGCTAGCAATCAGCGAGACTCCATGGGCATAGGACCCTCTGAGCCAGGTGCGGGATATAATCTCCTGGTGCACCGTTTTTTAAGCCCGTCGGAAAAGCACAGTATTCGGGTGGGAGTGACCCGATTTTCCAGGTGCCGTCTGTCACCCCTTTCTTTGACTAGGAAAGGGAACTCCCTGACCCCTTGCACTTCCTGAGTGAGGCAATGCCTCGCCCTGCTTCGGCTCGTGCACAGTGTGCTGCACCCACTGACCTGCGCCCACTGTCTGGCACTCCCTAGTGAGATGAACCTGGTACCTCAGATGGAAATGCAGAAATCACCTGTCTTCTGCGTCACTCACACTGGGAGCTGTAGACCGGAGCTGTTCCTATTCGGCCATCTTGGCTCCTTCCCCCACCAAGTTGCTTCTTATGGATGAGCAAATAAAGTGATTTCTTTGAGAAGGAATCTACTCCTGGTTAACATTGTTGAAATGACAGTAAATAATTGAGAATCTTCCATAAACCTTACTTGATAAAGCAGTGCAGGGTTTGAGAGGATTGACTCTAATTTTGAAAGAATTTCTATTGTGGGTAAAATGCTAAAAAATCAAACAGCATTGCATACTGCAGAGAAATCTTTTGTGAAAGTAAGAGTCAATTGATGTGGCAACTTTATTTTTATTTTATTTTAAGAAATTGCCACAGCCACCCCAACCTTCTGCAACCACTAACCTGTTAAGTCAGTAGCCATCAACATCAAGGCACAACCTGCCACCAGCTAAAATATTGCTACTTACTTAAGGCTCAGATGATTGTTAGTATTTTTCAGCAATAAGGGATTACTTTTTTTTTTTTTTTTTGTAGAGACAGCAGTCTCACTAGGTTGATTTTAGGTTGGCTAGTTTTGAACTCCTGGCTTCAGGTGATCTTCCCACCTTAGCTTCCCAAAGTGTTGGGATTACACACATGGGCCACCATGCCTGGCAGCAGTAAGGTATTTTTAATTAAGATTTATACATTTTTTTAAAACATAATACCATTGTAGACTTAGTAGACTACAGTGTAGTGTAAACATAACTTTTAATGCACTGGGAAATGAAAACCTTTGTGTGACTTGCTTTATTTTGATATTTGCTTTATTACAATGGTCTGGACCTGAACCTGCAGTATCTCTGAGGTGTGCTTGTATAGTCATTGTTACAAAAATAGCACATAAATTTGCAAACGTAGAGCAATTGTTTTAGGACTGTAAATGTTCAAAGTCAAATGATAGTACAGAAAATACACTTTAGACCAAGAAGTACTCACTGAGAAGGTCCAAAGAAGACTTAGGCTTTGACCGGGAAGGGGACTTAATGGGTGTATTAGGTGCTTTATTACTCTCATTTATTCTACTCTTGAAAATACATAGTAGAGTATGTTACTTCACTAGTATAGATGACAAGCTCAAATTCAGAGAAGTTAAGTTACTTAATAATGGTAGTACATATTTATTAATGTTTTCTATATGCTGGAAACTGATAAGGGCTTTATTTATATATAGTTATCTATCTATCTATCTATCTATCTATCTATCTATCTATCTATCATCTATCTACATCATCATCATCATCATCACCAACAACCCCATAAAGATAAAGAAATGGAGAATTAGAGATATTAAGTAACTTAGCCAGGGTGGCATACATGATAAATAGTAGCCCTGGGCTTTGAACCTGAAGAGATTTAGTCACGAACCAATAGGGTCAATCTGTGCACTGTGACTTAGTCAAGGTTACGTTGCCAGTAAGTGATGGAGCTGAAATTCGTATTCCTGACTTGTCTGACTGCCAAGCCTATGATCATTTTCTCTGTATCATTGTTTTTGGTAAAATTTAGATAGGAATTAAATATTTGGTAGAGTATTTAAGTTAAATTATTAGGGCTGTAATGACCAAACTAATGTTCCCATAGCAAAAAATCCTCAAAAGAGGGCATATAGATGGAAAGGCAGTATTATATATATATCTTGTTAAGTGGTTTGGCCAGTATTAGCTCCCATTTCCCATTTTGATAAGCAGGATCTTCCATTTTATGTTTCTTTCCATATGTTTGTCTTAGACCTGCCACAATTCTAGACAATTCTTGTTCTGGTTTTTACCAGACATTGGATTGACACTTTGTTTCTCCTAATGCTATGTTTCTACTAATCCAACTTCCTTGTTTTCAATCCTTTAGCTTCAGGTTCTTTATACATTCCATTATCCAATCCAATAAACCAACATATGACAGAGCATTCGTGGAAAATCTGCCTGGGTAGATATTTTCTCCAATTTTTTTTTAGTTATAATCTGTCTAAGGGCAGTGATTCTAATGGTGAGAATTTCAAACTTGGTAGGAGAGAACAATTCTGTGGAGCAGGTCTCCCTTGGTGAAACCATCAGTTCAACTGCATCAAATTTCACTTTATTCCTGATTCCCTCTATGGATCTTTAAGTAATAAACTTGAATATTAGAAGTGAGCCTGAGGCCAGGTGCGGTGGCTCACGCCTGTAATCCTAGCACTTTGAGGGGCCAAGGTGGGCAGATCACGAGATCAGGAGTTCGAGACCATCCTGGCCAACATGGTGAAACCCCATCTCTACTGAAAATACAAAAAATAGCTGGGCATGGTGGTGTGTGCCTGTAGTCCCAGCTACTTGGGAGGCTGGGGCAGGAGAATCGCTTGAACCCCGGAGGCAGAGGTCACAGTGAGCTGAGATTATGCCACTGCACTCCAGCCTAGAGACAGAGAGAGACTCCATATATATATATATATATATAAAAGAAGTGAGCCTGCTTTTCTTCCCTGCAAGTCAAGAACTAAACATAGCTTAAGAGTTTTAGGAAATGAGAGGATCTGTGATTAAAAGGTGACTTTGCCGTAAATAATATTTTCTCAGTAAATACTGTTCAATATATCTAAATTATCTCATATTGAATCGTATTATAATTCTTTGAAATTTGCTAACCCATCCGTACTTTATATGCACCTTCTATTAACCAGAAGGGGAGATTAACTTACTGTTGGGCCATATTTTGTTGCGAATTGAAATACTGATTTTTTTCATTTTAAAATTCCATTTTTGTGTTCATTAATTGGTTCATCCTTTGAGTAGATACAGCAAAGCAAATTTAGATGTGGCAAAGCAAATTTGTAAGATACAGTTTTTAACTTAAAAGCCTTTGCAATTTAGTTGAGGGTATGACACAGACATATAAACATTAAATTATAGTAGAAGAGAACCATACTATTTTAGTGATTATAGTTTAGATATGAAAGGACCACCAAAATCTTTAATCCATTGTTTTTCACTTGTTTTTTTCAGAGGCTTCTTAGAAAGATTGTTTTTAGAGGTAGAGGGAAGAGAGGCTAGAGAAATGGAACCAGCCTGCCAGAGAACTACCCTTCTCCTTATACTTCAGCTATAGATACTCTACTGTCATCTATATTATATAAGGTTTGATTTGAACACAGAATTGCCGTACTAAAAATGTGTGAGACTCACTGATCCAATAGAATTCCTATTATTTTCAGATGAGATAATTGCTTGAAGCCAGCATAGATTATAGGACTGCCCTAGTTTGAAGAGTTTGGAGTTAAAGGAAGGGTTGAAACTGGTTCTGTTAATGTCCTAGTATTGGCCTAGTTTTATGCTATTTGTAGATGCCCACATTTTAGTAGCAGATATAAAATATTTTACATAAATTAGACTTTATTAACATGTATTATATAAATATGCATTATATATAAATATATATTATATACATAAATATATATATTATATATATATAAATGTAGACCACTCTTCTTACATCTAATAAATTAGCATGTAATTTTTCACTTTTCTTCCTGGTCTTTTATGTATAAGTAATTTTTATATAATTATCATTCTACAGATATATATGTCTATGATTTTTTCAACCTATTTTGTGATAAATATTTTTCTTTCGAATTTATATTCATATTTATAAATTTTATATTTATAAATTTTAATTCTTGTACAAAGTCCTATTGGTTGATATAGCATACTTTATTTAATCTTTTACACGTTATTGGATATTGAGGATATTTTTAGTTTCTTTGCAATTTTGTTACATCCATATACCTTTCCTTTCTTTTGGATTATTTAAAAAACTAAATTGTGAGGAGTAAGGTTAATGTATCAAACGGATATAAAAAATTTTGTAAGCCTTATATATTGCTTTCTCAAAGGGTTATATAAGTAGCATTTACCATGCCTCCCACCTGTAGGTATTATCAATATTTTGAAATGTTGTTAGTTTTTTTTTGTGCTACCACATTGATTTTTGTTTGTTTGTTTGTTTGTTTTTTTGAGGCAGAGTCTTGCTCTGTGGCCCAGGCTGGAGTACAGTGGTGCAATCTTGGCTCACTCTATCCTCCACCTCCTGGGCTCAAACGATACTCCTGCATCAGCCTCCCGAGTAGCTGGGATCACAGGTGTGCACCACCACACCAGGATAATTTTTTAATTTTTAGTAAAGACAGGGTTTTGCTGTGTTGGCCAAGCTGGTCTCAAACTCCTGGCCTTAAGTGATCTGCCTGTCTCAGCCTTCCAAAGTGCTGGGATTACAGGTGTGAGCCACCATGCATGGCCTAATGTTTTGATATTGTATTTTGATTATTAGTGAAGATTGTTATTTTTATCATTATACTTACATGCCAATTATCGTTCTTTGGATGAATGGATTGCTGATTTGTACACTTTTTTCTTTTGTGGTTCTCTTAATTTGTAAGAGCTCTTTACAAATATATCATTTTGCTAAAAATACATTCATAGTCACCTTTTAATATTTTTAACCAGTCACTTTCACGTGTCTAACTCAATTTCCCACTATTACTAATGCTTTTAACTAGGTGTTAAAAATATACATTGAAACGTTTATTTTTCCTTGTTAGAAACTGTCCTATTTTAATAAAAATGAGAGAATAATTTTTATAAAAGAATTGATTGCAGTATCTAATATATAGAGAGGATTAATTTTGGGCTGGATAATTTGGGCAAATAACAACATTTGTAAAACTCAAATCGTTTTAGATTTGCCCTACCATTTCTTACATAAAACACATCTTCACAGCTAGCAGTTGTCCTGTTTTTACTAGCAGATTTCCTCTTCGTAAACCAATTCAGATTACTGACAATTCTAATCTTTATATATGTGTGTATATATATATATATAATATATATATATATATATAATACTTTAAGTTCTAGGGCACATGTGCACAATGTGCAGGTTTTCTACATATGTATACATGTGCCATGTTGGTGTGCTGCACCCATTAACTCATCATTTATATTAGGTATATCTCCTAATGCTATCCCTCCCGCCTCCCCCTACCCCACAACAGGCCCCGGTGTGTGATGTTCTCCTTCTTGTGTTTCTTTGAGAGATGTTGGACTAAAGCATTTCATTGATCCTGACAGTTTGAAGACTAAAATTATAAATGATAAAAGTATAAGATTAGAATTGTCCTTGCAATTCTAATAAAAGTATAAGATTAGAATTGTCCTTGCAATTCTAATCTCATACTTTTATCATTTATAATTTTAGTCTTCAAACTGTCAGAATCAATGAAATCGTTTAGTCCAACATCTCTCAAAGAACAATTCACTTGTTATGCTTATTTCTATCTAAATAAAATAGAAAAAAAGCAGAAAATTGTATAGTCCTATGCAGGCCATCCTTAAGTTACACATGTGAGCTGGTAAAGTTGAGAAGGAGTCTTCTTTATTTGGGAATATTCTTATGAATGCATAAACAAGCAAGCACTCTTGGGTTTTGTTGTTGTTGTTGCTATTGTTGTTGTTGTTGTTATCTTAACCCTACAAACAAACAGAAAAGGATGCTTTAAGAATTTGACACTTGTGCACATATTTCCCTACTGGTGTTTCAGAGCTTCTGGAAACATCAAATACAGTCGGAGGTTGTTCAAAACTATGTTTGCTTGCTACTGCAACTGGTACAGTGAACTAATTTTTCTGAAGTGATTGGCCCCTAACCTGAATTTCTCTTCAGCTGCCTCCATCAAATTGAGTTAGAGTCTTTTCCATTGCTGTGAGGTTAATAGCATTTTCAGATTCTATTCTAGTCTGTGGAAAATTGTCTTTTTAAAAAATTAATCAATAATACTCATTTATATATCAGTATGTCAAACAAGGCAAAGTCTACCACATCAGGCATTTCTGCCACTAACTTTACTATCAGTAGATATTCCTACATGACAAAAGTCAATAAACTCACCATGCTTGCAGCGTTGCCATTTGTTCACGTTTTTAATTCACTCGTGTATTAAACTCAGCCTGGAAGACTCACTGGGCAAAGACACTAAATTCCCCTGAAGCAAATAATTTCAGGAAAAAGTCTTAAATACATTTTCATGTGTATATCCTGACTCTTTCTCTTCAGGGATACTGGACAAATGCTCTCTGAAGACAATTTATGTGTACTGCCACAAAATAATCAGTTAATGAATTAATTTCCAAAGTGACCTGGAGGTCACATCAAAGCAGATTTATTGAATAAGAAATCAGGAAGAGTTGTTTTAGGGATTTCATTAGATAATCATATAAAAACATATAGTTTCATGCCAGAAACATAATAAACAGTTGATATTAGCAATAATGAGCATTAGCAATTATTACTTACATTATATCAAATAACAATTACGGGTTGTAATTGGGACTCTGTATAGGGCAACATTAAGCATAACCATTTCCATCATTGATATTACCATGGTAAACCATTGTTTCTTTTTCCCAAGAGAACCAAACTGGCCAGAAATAGACTAAACTGTTAATAAAATCAATCATGGAAGAGATTGGGTATTAGACCGGTTATGGCATAGCACTTTTAGCTCAATTCAATTGACATAAAGCCTGTACTATGTGTCAGTTGTTATACTACAGGTATTATTGTATCCCATAGGGGTATCAAATGTAACTTTTAGGTCCTGTCTTAAAGGAACTGTGTGGTAAAGTATGGGAGACACAAATGTAAATTAATTATATTACACTGTGGTAAATGCAGTAATACAACATGTAGGATACAGAAGAGGACAAAGTGATTACGTGATTACTAACAGGCAAGATTGGAGAAGGCTACCTGGAGGAATATTCGAGTTGGATTTCGAAAGATGTAAAAGTTAGGAAGCATGTTATGACAGAGAATAAAGTTGCGCAAAAGCTTGGAGGCTGGAATAAACATGGTTCTTAAGGAAAATTTAACATGGCTGCAGTGGTAAATGTGAGAGGAAGATGAATGAAGAGAGATGAGGCCACATTTTGAAAAGGTTTATAACTACGGAATTTGGACACTGTTTCAAGGTCATGAAATAGAGCCAACTGATCATTCTTAAATATTATAAAGAATACTTTAATTCTAAAGTGTGAACGGGCATAGTGGCAGGTGCCTGTAGTCCCTGCTACTCGGGGGGCTGAGGCAGGAGAGTCACTTGAACCTGGGAGGCAGAGGTTGCAGTGAGCCTAGATTGTGCCACTGAACTCCAGCCTGGTGACAGAGCAAGACTCCGTCTCAAAAAAAAAAAAAGGATTGCAAGAGGCAGGAATAAAGGCAGGGATTTATAATTTCGGACCTCATTCACTGCTATAGAAACTTATAAATCCAAACATGATCAAAACTCTTACTTATCAATGGATCATTGATTAATGGTTTGAGGCAGTGGTAATATGTATATTTTGTATTTTCATCTTTGAAGATTGCCATTGAGGTCCCTTTTGGTAAGCTGGGCTCATACTTTAGGTTTATTTTCTGATTCCAGGAGTTTATGTCAACATCAAGGTAAGAATAAAATATATTACATTGAGGGCAATTACACACACACACACACACATACACAATTGTGTGTTTTGTGTAATATAATGCATTTAGGAATTCATGAGTGAGGCAAATGGGTATGGAACAATTTGATGAGTCTGAGATTTCTGGTTTGTGACACAGGATAACCTGAAGAGAAGAGCGGTTCTGAAGGATGTGGAGTTGAAGGGTGGAGAAGATTCAGCATGGACCACTTTTGCTTTGGAAGGTCACTGGGAACCTAGCTTTCTTTTAGGGCTGTCTGATGATCCCAAGCTCAGGACTGGACACAGGTTATACACAGTATGCTAGGGCTTCTGTGGATGAAGCCTAGGCTAGACCCTTGGTGCTGTTCAAACCTCCTTGTTATAGTCTGGTCTAGTTCCAGGGAGGGGCTGGAAACTGGCCCTATTTCTACAGGAGAAGGTTGGGTCTTCTTATTGGAATGATCTTCTATGCCAGTTTTTGTTTCTTTTTTTTTTCAGTTATTGTTTCTACAGGTTGTATTGGCAGCTGGTGGGTTTCTGAGTTAAATATTTTGTACTACTTGTGAGACTGTTGAGTATTTTATGTCCCCAATTACAGATATAGAACTTTATGTACTCAAGTGTATCAGACTTACATATATATAAGCACCTAAGGATAAAGGTGAATGGGTTCTAATTTACAAGTAGTTAATTTGGATCTAAAATTGAGAGACACTCATTTCAGAAAACTTTTAGGACTCAAATTTCAACTGTGTTAGTAAAAGAATTTTGAACTTCAATCAGAAAGTTAATAGGCTTTAATTACCTTTATTTCTCCTTTACTAGCCTTCTTGTTTATTGGATTTGGAAATTTTCTAACTTGTAAGGACTAAGCCAAGATTTTGCTTTCCTCAGGGAGCATTTCCTGCTACATCCTCGTAGTCCGTTTTTCCATCCTCTATCCATCCTTTATCTCTAATCCTGGCCTTCCCACATCATACTGTATTATAATTATATGTTTATATATGTTCTGTCAGATTGTGAGCTCCAGTGGAGCAAGCCCTGTCTTGTTCCACTCTGTCTTCTGGGCACCTAGCAGAATGTCTGCATAAGAAAGAAAAGAAAAGAAAAGAAAAAGATGGTGGATTTAATGAATGCAGCAAGTATTGCTGTCTTTGTTTACATATTAGATTCAGTGACTTCCATCTATACCTCAATTTCTAGAGCTATGACAGGCACATAGGTTTCTTTGTGTTTTCTTTTTTAAAACCGTTAAAAAATAGCATCAAAAAAGCAGCCCTAGTAAAACACTTACTTGCTTAGATCGTATGTTCATGTGAAACCCACACATACATACACACACACACAAACACACCCACTATTTTAAAAAGCATGAAACAAACTAGTTCAGCACAGTGGTCATTTTGATGGGAGAGAGAAGTATGGTCAATGAATGGGCCCTGGGTAGGACTCCCACTATATAGGTAATGTTTTATTTTGATCTGATGATACATAAACATATGCTCATTGCATTCTTTATTCATTTTTGCACATCCTATTTTATGCATATGAATAGAAGGTACTGTAATCTTGAATAGAATCTTCCTATCATAGGACATCTTGTATTAAATGTTTTAAATGAGAATTAGCAGATCTGGGGAACTATAGAGGCTTTTTTGATTTGTTTTACCTATAGGAATTGCATTTTGGACATAGATTTTAATGTTATGTTGAAATAAATCGTCTAATCAACATTTTCCCTAAATATTTTATAAATATGCAAAATTTATCAAAGTGCACTTGTATGTAGATCTTTTGACTATATATATAGTCTATATATATTTATATATTTATGTATATATATATAAAAATTCATATATTATATGTATTTATATACTACATATATAGTTAAAAGATCTACATACATAAATACATGTTTATCTATCGATATAAATATAATAAATATATTACTATATTTATTACATATTAATATATTTATATTCACCAAAGCTGAAGTGCAATAGAGTGATTATAACTAACTGCAGCCTCAAACTTGTGGACTCAAGTGATCCTCCTGCCTTAGCCTCTCGAGTAGCTGGGACCACAGGCATGTGTCACCATGCCCAGCTATTTTTTATTTTTCATAGAGATAGGGGTCTCACTTCGTTGCTCAGGCTGGTCTTGAACTCCTGGCTTCAAGCAATACTCCCTCTTCAGCCTACCAAAGTGCTGGGATTACAGGTTGAGCCGCTACACCCAGCCACTATTTTTATACATAGCTTTAAAAGTTTTGAAAAATTTTCCTGGGGGACTGATATTACTAAATGTCTATCTTTTCATGACTCCTCCATGCATAAAATATAATTAAGGAAATGGAAGGGCTAATTTAATCTGTAAATATTTTAGTAATGATAAGATATTAAAGAAAGCAGAAGGACGAAAGGAAGGAAAGCTGGGTCAGGGCGGGGGGATAAGGAAGACTTCAGGGAGAAAGCAAATGAATTGAGCTTTGAAGAATGAATAAAGGTTTGCCAAAAGGCTGTGGAGTGTGAGGTCAAAAGCATTCCAGACAAGAAAAAATTTCATGCAAAGTTCTAGAGATGTGAAAGGATGAATCATATGATTAGAGAACTTGGGTTAATTAGGAATTGCTGGATTTTAAATTGCAGGTGGAAGACACTATTCAGAGGAAGGTAGAGATCAGAAAACAAAGAACCTTATTTCCTTCTAAGGAATCTAGGCTTTATTTCTAAGTGATGGGAATTCTGAGGACTTTTGAGTGATAGGGCCAGGTTTCTGTGAAGTTAAGTTTAGATTTGTGGGATGAGATCATAGAAGGAAGGGAGTTAGGAGATTATCAAATGTTTGGGGCAGAGATAATGAGGTCTTAGGCTCAGAGCAGAAGGTTGAGGAGAGACAACTGAGAATAGAGGCTTAGAAGGGAGGAGGGAAATGGATGTGGGAGCAAGAGATGGGGAGGGAAAATGACATAGAGGAGCAGAAGTAGGTTAAGGAAGTCAAGCGTCCTGAGAACTCATTATTAACTCATACACATATATAGGCAAATAATGTTTTGTTGCAGACATGTGTTGTACAAAATAGAAAATAGTAAATCTGAATCCCATTCATTGTATAGATACTGATTTTTAAATATATGTCACACAGGCAGAACACACAAAGACATAAAGGTGAGTGGAGATAATTTTCAAAAGGAAACCTCTCAGTAAGGAAAATCACAGGTTGCTTGCTGTTTGATTCAGAATCAAAAGTGTTAATTGAAAATTGTTATTTATATTTCCCTAAAGTCTCATGACACTTTTTTGGTCTACTTATATTAAAATGCGGATAACACAAGGTATGATGAGGTAATTTTTTGCCACTTTCTAAACCTCTTGTTATTCACTCTAGTTGTTTAAGTGTTGAATTTCTTTGTCTTGTTAAAAAGTGTCCTGTTGCTGAATGGTACAAGTACTAGATCTGTTCATTAGTAGCTAATTTTATTTATATTTAAATGAAGAAGTTATTGATGGAAGGAGCAATGTCATAAAGAAAATCGAAGTAAACATTTTATGTATAAAAATTAGATAAATGGTTCCTTTTGAGTGGGAGAAAGAGGGACCAGTCCAGAAAGGAAGAAGGGTACTTCCTTGGCCATAAATGCTTTTCTTATGTTTTTGGTGCCTTGTTACCTGAAAGTAGATTTGAGGAGTGTGAGATGAACAGCATTAGTGGAACCATTAGAGAGGTGTAGGCCACCTCTTTTGCTTTGAGATCTGTTTCTTAAACTGAGAGAATCAGAGGGATGACTAATCCAACTAGGGGGAAATTGATCTTAGATTAAAGAGTCCAGGGTGAAATATAGTAAATTCCATTTTGGGGTCTGTAGAGTTAGAGTAAACTGCTAATTGGACAGCTAATATGTAGTGAGGTAAGATATCAATCATGTATCATAGAATTCTAATTTCTTTTAAAAATTTAAAGTGTATTGATACTTGTTCACATAATAATTACATTTCTTTTTGAAATAATTTTTAAGAAAGAAATTATCTCTGACTAAAATACTGATAATACATGCTTTTAAATCTGTGAGGAATTGGGTGCAAAGAACCAGCAGCCTAGAAAAGAGACTTCTAGATTTGTTGAATGAATGAATGCTTGGATATCAACACATCGAGGTGCTCTGGCTGCTTACACTGCTTCACTGAGCACTACTCCCACCTAGTGGCAATCTACCTGTAGTGCATGGGTATTTTAAAGGAATGAAAACTGAAGTTCTCTGGAAGGGAACTATGTACTTTGACCTCCTGTCAATCATACTTCAACATTATTAAATTTATTGAAGGAAGAAGCCTTGTAACATTCAATTCTGAATTTTCTATAAAAATGTAGTTGAAGATTTTGTTCACCATATTCATGATTCAATGTAGCTTATTTGAAAGAACAGTCTTTTAATAATTCCTAGAAATAAAAAAATAATTTACAAACAAAAAATAATTTACAAATAAGAAAAATATAAATTGCTAATATATGGACATATTTCAACCTCATTAAGTAACAAATAAATGAACATTTGGATACTATTTCTCCCTGTCAAAATAGCAGATTACAAAAAACAATAATATTGTGCTATAAGGAAGAAATGAAGGAAGTATCTTCAATAATTATTATTGGTGGGTGAGCAAATTGGAAAAATCATTTTATTTTAATTTTTAAACTTTTTACTTGTGAATAATTTCAAACTTAAAAAAAGTTACAAGAATATAATTAGTACAAAGAACACCTGCATGACTTTTACCTAGATCTATTATTAATATTCTAACCCATTTGCTTTATAATTACCTTGCAGACCATTTGAAGCTAAGATACAAAAATCGTGACCTCAACACTTCTGTATGTATTTCCTAAGAATAGGGATATTCTCTTACATATCCACAGTACTGTTATTGGCTTTGATGAATTTAACATTAATGCAATGATGTTTACTATCTAATCTACCATTCATTTAATAATTTTGTCAGTTGACTCAATAGTCTTTTATATTGATTTATTCCCCTTCAGTACAAGATCCAGTCTAAGATCAGCTGTTGCATTTAGTTGTCATGTCTCCTCATCCTCGTTTAATCTAGAACTGTCCTGCAGCCCTAGTTTGTCTTTTATGACTTTGACTTCTTTGAAGAGTATAGCTGCTTTCTTTTTCTTTAATACATGATTCTACATGTTGTGTTTGTCTAATGTTCCTCATTAGATTCTGATTATACATTCTTTGTTGAAATGCTTTTTATGTGATGTTGTGGCTTTCTCAAAGTATCACATCTGGAAGCACATGATGTCCATCTGCCCTTCCTTGACAATGTTCATTTCATTTACCTGGTCAAAAGTGGTCTGATTTCTTCATTATGTAATTATTTTTTTTCCCGTGTAGAAACACTTTAAGAACATAAAAATATTCTACTCTTTATAAAATTCTCCTGTAACCTAGTACCTATTGATCATTTTGTTAGTTCCTATCTTTACTGTGATGGTTGTAGAATGCTGATTTTCAACTCCAGTACCCCCTTTACATTTATCACCTGGCCCTAAGCATTCTATTGTAAGCAAATTGCCTCCCTTCTTTCTTATTTGTCTGTATAGACTCATTAATTCCAATTTTTTAAAATGACTTATAATTCATTACTGTACTCATTGTCCCAGATTTGGCCAGTAGAAGCCCCTTCAAGATGACTCCTTCAAGGTAACAAAGAAAGAAAAATAAGAAAAATGCACATATGTGATCTTGCTTCCTTTTTTTTTGAGACGGAGTTTCACTCTTGTCATCCAGGCTGGAGTGCACTGGCACAATCTCGGCTCACTGCAACCTCCACCTCCTGGGTTCAAGTGATTCTCCTGCCTCGGCCTCCTGAGTAGCTTGGATTACAGGTGCCTGCTACCATGCCCAGCTAATTTTTGTATTTTTTTAGTAGAGACAGAGTTTCATCATGGTGGCCAGGCTGGTCTCAAACTCCTGACCTCAGGTGATCCACCTGCCTTGGACTCCCAAAGTGCTGGGATTACAGGTGTGAGCCGCCGCGCCCGGCCTGCACCTTGTTTTTTAAATCTACCAAAATGTTGTGGAAGTTATTCCATATCAGTTCATAGTGATCTTCCTCATTCTTTTATATAGCAGCATACGTATCACTCCAAGGATTGTCTCTAACAGCAGGATCTTTAAAATGTTTATAGCCATTGATCAAGTAGCTTCAATTTTAGAAATATTTTTTAAAGGAAATTGTCAGAGTTGCAGATAAACGTTTCTATACAAAGATGGTCAATAAAATACCATTTATAATGGTAAAAATTTATGAATGATCTGAAGAGTTTACATTAAAGTAATGATTTGTTTACTATGTCCATGTAATTAAACATTATGTAATCATTAAAAAGGTTCATGTTAAGCAAATCAAACAAATCTCAAAATTATATACTTGGAACTAAAGTAGGTAGAATGCACAGAAAAGAGATAGGAAGGAAATACACTGAAGTGATAAAAATGGCTGTTTCTGAGGGCAGGATTTCTGATTTTTTTTTTAAAAAGTATGTTTCATATTTTTATACTCTCTGATTTATCTTCGGTGTATATATATTCATATTATTTTCAGAAAAGTTGAAATCAGTAATCTAGTGTTATAAGAAGCTTTTCTCCCTTAGAAACTGGAATGCTTCTTCACTGTGAACTATAATAGTCTTTATTATATTGCATTTCTCTTTATGCTCTGGGTGCCAGGAGCCAGGTTTAAAGGTCAAGCACAACAACTTAGAAAGCAGACACTTGAGTTGTCTTTTTCTTAACTTTTTAATATCTGTTTTTTAACCTTATTATGACATCTTGTTGAAAACTATCTCAAATCAGTTTTTAAAAGAGGTGGGATATAAATAAATAGAATCTAAATGAAATTTCTACGTAACAATTGTCCAAAAACTGCTGAGGTAGACATTATGGATACATAATAGATTTAGTTTTAATATTTAAAGTGTCTTATCATATACCATAGTAATAAAATAGTAGATTTCTCTGATGGTTAGTAGGTGGAATCCGAGAGAAATTTACCGATATTTCTATTTTCTGGAAGAATAAAAAAAAAGAAGGAAAAATTAAATCCACGATACTGAGTTGACACTGTAGAAAATCTACTCAAAAGCAGATTTAAGTTGGACCTTAAAAAGTTATATTTTTAGAATAGCAGATGTCTCCATTCAAGATAGAACCCACTTGGTACTTCTGTTCCCAGTCGTCCAACCCTACTAATGTTAAACATATGCTTGCTGACCCGCTCTACTCTTCTCTGCCTAGTACTTAGGAATTGTCTAACCCAAATCTTCCATGTTCTCATTTAAGCCAATTCCTTGTGGCGTTGGCCTCTAAGGACATGTAGAACAATTGTTCTAATTTCCATGTGGTGTTCTTTCATAAAAATGAAGACAATTGTTAAATTCAGCTCCTCTTTCTCTGTCCCACTCTTTCAGAATAAATTTAAATGAGAGATAGTAGATCCTTTTACATAACTATAGGGAAATGAACACCAAATAAAAGTAGCAGGGATTTCTGGATTTTGAAAAATTAGAGTTTATTTTCACATATCCACACAATTTCAGACACAAAAGAATGTCACTTCTTATTCAAAGAATTAAGGAAATAAAATTTTCTCTTTTTTGGCAATCAATTATTTAAAAAGTCTTACAGTAGGACCTTCCCGCCACAAATCTGACTACCTTTATGCTTCAATTTGAGCACTTGTCCTCAGTGGAGACGGAAAGAAGCAGAAGTTACATAACTGAATTAACCTGACAACTCTTACTAAGCTTCTTTTGATTTTTTTCTGTCTTTTAGGATAACAAATTTGGTCCTTTAAACTTGTTCTATAGATATTATTTTCTAACCAATTAACCATATCTGTAGCTTATCTATGAATTGTTTCCAGATTGTTCACATATAGTGATGTGTCACTTAATGTCAGTATATATTCTAAGAAATGTGTCCTTAGGCAATTCTGTCATTGTGCGGACATCACAGGGTATAGTTACACAAACCTAGATGGCATAGCCTACTACACACCTAGGCTATATGGTCTGGCCTGTTACTACTAGGCTATAAACCTGTACAGCATGTTACTGTACTTAATACTGTATGTGATTGTAACACAATGGTAAGTATTTGTGTATCTAAACATAGAAAAGGTACAGTAAAAATATGTATTATAATCTTATGGGACCACTGTCTCATATGCTGTCCATCATTTACCAAAATGTCGTTATTCTGTACATGGCTGTGCTTCCGTTGCCATGCATCTTAAACAAGACACAGTCTATAATCATCAAGCTATTATATTAAATATATGAAAATATCTTCTCACATTTTATGCTGTTTGTGTTACTCAATTTGCTTCTGGACTTGCTTTTATGAAAATGCTACTTTATTACAGATTTCTGTTTTAAGTACACCAATCAGCCTAAGATCACTAATAATCATCATTCAGACTAGTAACCATAATTCAGCATCAGGAGGGGAGAAACTATATTTGTTTTGCTCATGATTATATTTGCGGTACCTGACACACAGAAGACACTTAAATATTTGTAGCTGACCAACTGAATGGGTGAAATTTTCTGTAGCATTTCATAATTGGCAGCACAATTTTTAAACAGAATTTCATTTAATTTTCAAAGCCATTGGCAAGCTTGTTATTATAAGCTGTGGGAACTGGAATTCAAAATAATCTGTGAAAGGTTACTCTTAATCACAAAGTAGTGGGGCTGGGCGTGGTAGCTTGTGCCTGTAATTCTATCTGCTTGGGAGGCTGGGGTGGGAGGATCGCTTGAGCACAACAGTTCAAGGATGCAGTGAGCTATGACTCTGACACTGGAAAAAAAAAAGTAGTGGAACCAATTGTTTACCTACATCACTGTGCTGTGTAGAGGTAGTGTGCACCTTGGAAGATGGTGTGGTCTCAACTTGCAGAACAGCTAAGTTACAATGAGTGTCAGTGTGAAACAGGCCAGGTCAGGCCAATGGGACTTCAGAATGTGGTATAGAAACATAAGCAAAATTATTTTCTCACGTTATGTTGGTTTCTTGGATAAACTAGTGTTTTTGAGCCTATTTTTCTCATCTGCATAATGAGGGTAAGGGTGATATCTATTAACTATTTCACAGAGCATGTCTTATGAGCACAAAGATACAGAGAGTGTGTGAGTTTAAAAGTACTCTGTAGACTGTAAGGTACAATGCCTGTGCTGGGTGGTGGTGGCACTGGTGTTACTGCACCATGTAGTGTGTTCCTCTTTCTTGACCGGAAAAGGTTGGCTAACCCATAATTTAGATAAATGCTCCTCTCACTGACAAGAAGTAGTCAATATATGTGCACAACAAATATAATGTAAACTGTATTTCCAGTTTTAAAAATCTTTCTGTGTTTGGTCCCTCTATCTCACAGGCTGTCACTTTGGTTACCAAACAACCCCCAATCTCCACCCCCACCCCATCATCCCTATCCATTAAAATGAGAAGACTTGCATTGCTTTAGGTGAGGTACCCTGTGAGACCATGTACTTTTAAATATAAATACCATATTTATTAGATATTTGATAATGCTACTGCATTCAATGTTGTTTGTTTCTAGGTATATCTTAAGGTATCAGTGATGATCTATATATTTCTTAACAGTTCAGGTCTTTTTTCTATATGAACAACTCAGAATAGGTACAGCACTGTGGAAATTAATTCTGAGGTTCGTTATCTGGTGACAAGAAGATTTGTGGAGTTTGGTGGAGGCTCTAATTATTCTTGGCAGGGAAATCCAACCTATTGAGTTTGGGGGCATCTTTATGAGAGCTACTTGGTATTGTAATATATGCTGATGGCTGCTGCTGTGCTTTATGTATTTTAGCTAAATTTTTTATGTTTGTATTTGTACCTTCAGGCAATTTAATCCTTAAATATGTAAATTGATAAATTTTAAAAAGACACAAAATAAGAAATATAAAAAATAAAATGTAAATAAATGAACTTCCTCCTAAACAAAACCCAAATAAAGATAACAACAAACCAGAATTTTAAAAAATTGCCTTTTAGAGGCTAATGTGAAGAGTTATCTTTTCCTCTAACCCAGGTTGTTTATTTATTTATAATCTTAGGCGACTGTTCCTTTTAGAAGTGTGTACTCCCTGTTATCCCACAGTTACTAGTGTAGCAAGACACTACTCTTGAATGAATTATGTCTCTCAGTTGTGTTGGGGTAGAAAAGACATTTGATTTCATATCAGATGCAGTCAATTCTCCAGGATGCCAAAGGGAGAGAGAGAAAAAGTATAGGAAGTACATTGTGAATAAGAATGTAGCTTTAGGTAGAATATAGTACATTTAAAAGCAATTTAGCTAAAAAAAAAATAACTTTTAAAAGAAAATATGGTTGACCCTTGAACAAAGAAAGGGTTAGGGATGCTGATCGGCCATGCAGTAGATCCATGTATAACTTCTCACTCCCCCAAAACTTAACTACTAATAGGCTACTGTTGACAGGAAGCCTTACTGATAACATAAACAGCCGGTTAACACATATTTTATATGTTATATTTTTATATTTGTATTCTTGCAATAAAATAAAATGTAAACAAATGAACTGCCTCCTAGACAAAACCCAAACAAAAATAACAAAAAAAGAGAATTTAAAAAAATGACCTTTTATAGGCTAAAGTGAAGAGTTACCTTTTCCTCTAACTGCAGTTGTTTACTAATGAAATAAAGTAAGTTAGAGAAAAGGAAATCTTATTAAGAAAATCATAAGAAGGGAAAATATATTTACTATTTATTAAGTGGAAGTGCATCATCAGAAAAGTATCCTCGTCATCTTTATGTTGAGCAGACTGAGGAGGAGGAAGGGGAGAGGTTGGTCTTGCTATCTCAGAGTGGCAGAGGTGAAAGAAGCAGAGAAGGTGAAAGAGGAGGCAGGAGAGGCAGGCACACTCTATGTAGCTTTATGGAAATACATTGTAATTTTTGTCTGACATTTTTCCTTTTAATTTCTCTAGAAGTGTTTCCATGTAGTACCAATCCTTCTTCTACCATTGGCTTTAGTTTCAGTGATCCACAACATAGAAGGGTTCATGTTGTAAAATAAGTCAAAAATAGGCTTGAATAATTGGAACCCTTCTGCCAGATTGTCTAATGCCAATTTATTTTCTGGCACTGCTTCTTCTGTGTCCTCTTATTCATTATCCGGCACTGGTTTGGAAGCACTCATATTCATTAATATGTCTTCTGTTAATTCCTCTGGTGTGGTAACTGTTAGCTCTTGAATTTCTCCAAAATCCACGTCATGAAACTCTTCACACTGCACCCCTCACTTTTTTTTTTTTTTGGCCATATCCATAATCCCTCTCATGATTTTCTTGCTTGGTTCTGCTGTAAATCCTATGAAGTCACAAATGACATCTGGACACAGATTTTTTCCAGCAGGAAATTATTGTTTCAGGCTTGATGACTTTCCTGGCTTCTTATGTAACAAAAATGCATCTTCAATGATGTAATCCTTCCAGACTTTCACGATGATCTCTCTATTGGGGTTCTCTTATTGGCAAGGTACTTGCTGACTTCAGGGACGAGGCATTAATGGAACCAATCCAGGAAGAGTTTTCATTGTTCAGGCCTTCCTGTTGTACAACCAAAAGATGTCAGCTGATGTTTATCTTTTCCCTCAGGAGATAGCAGCTTTATAGTTAAGGAAAGTCCTGATAAAAAACCCAACTGTATTTGCACAAAACAGCAGAGTTAGCTTGTCCCTTCCTGCCTTAAATCTTGGTCCTACTCCTCTTCTCTTACTTGCTAATAAATGCTCTTTGTGGCATTTTTTTCCTCCAGAATAGGCACTTTCATCTGTATTAAAAACCTGTTCAGACAGATATTCTTTCTCCTCACTGATTTTCTTAATGGCACCTGAGAACTCGTCTGCTGCTTTTTGGTTGGCAGGAGTTCCTGCTTCTGTTATCTTGACATTCTTTTTTTTTTTTTTTTTAGGATTTTTTTTTTATTATACTTTAAGTTTTAGGGTACATGTGCACAACGTTCAGGTTTGTTACATATATACACATGTGCCATGTTGGTGTGCTGCACCCATTAACTCATCATTTAACATTAGGTATATCTCCTAATGCTATCCCTCCCCACTCCCCCCACCCCACAACAGGCCCCGGTGTGTGATGTTCCCCTTCCTGTGTCCATGTGTTCTCATTGTTCAATTCCCACCTATGAGTGAGAACATGCAGTGTTTGGTTTTTTGTCCTTGTGATAGTTTGCTGAGAATGATGGTTTCCAGCTTCATCCATGTCCCTACAAAGGACATGAGCTCATCATTTTTTATGGCTGCATAGTATTCCATGGTGTATATGTGCCACATTTTCTTAATCCAGTCTATCATTGTTGGACATTTGGGTTGGTTCCAAGTCTTTGCTATTGTGAATAGTGCCACAATAAACATACGTGTGCATGTGTCTTTATAGCAGCATGATTTATAATCCTTTGGGTATATACCCAGTAATGGGATTGCTGTGTCAAATGGTATTTCTAGTTCTAGATCCCTGAGGAATCGCCACACTGACATTTCTTAAAGCCAAACCTTTTTCTAAAATTATCAAACCATCCTTTGCTGGCATTAAATTCTCCAGCTTTAGGCCCTTTATCTTCTTTTTGCTATAAATTCTCATATAATGAGTTCACTTTTTCTTGAATCACATTAGAAAGACATAAAAGGTATGCCTTTCTTATAGCAATCCTGCACCCCATAAAAGCTGCATTTTTGATATGAGATTAAAAAGTATTTTGCACAAAGTGCAGGGTTATTGCACCTGCTGGAGTAGATGCAGTGACAAATGTATGAATTTCCTTTTCTTTTTTTTACATGCTGGATTCATTTTTCTTGAAATGGCAGGCAACTGCAGCTGCAGACTTCAATATGTGGTACTTGTCAAGCAATTTCACTTTTTCTTGTAATGTCATGACTTTCCCCTGCTTCTTGGGAAAACTTTCAGCATCACTTGTGGTACTTTGCATAGGTTCCATGGTATTACTCAAGGTTTACAGTATTGCAACAAACATGATGAAAAATACACAAAGACCATGAGAAATCACCTTTTACTGCTAAATTCATTTTATTGGAGAGAGGATCAATTCACTAAGAGATGATCAGCATCACATGGCGTTTTAAGCTAATACTAGCAACACTTGAGCACATTGCAATAGCAACAGGGGTTGGCTATGAAATTATTACAGTAGTACAATATGTACTACAGTTAATTTTATGTAGTTATGATTTAATACTGCATTTTTGTATTTTATTATATGTCTCTGGACTGCAGATGGCACCATGTATGGTCTGTAATGTTTGTGTGCATAAGTTTTGATAGTTTTAAAATGTTTATAATAGATTGGTATATACTTTAAGTGGTGAATGATAAAATGGACTGGTATCTACATATATTTTATATATTTATGACATTCCTAATTTTTTCTTAAATTTTTAAATATATATGGGCTACCTGGTTCATCTGTGAGCTTTTTCAAATTGTTGCAAATCTCCCAAAATTCTTTCAGTATATTTATTGAAAAACACCAGCATGTAAGTGGGCCTGTATTGTTCAAACCTGTGTTGTTCAAGGATTAACTGTAATATTATAACATCTTCAGTAAAAAGCTTTATTAAAAGTTTATTATTATTATTATTTTGAAACAGGGTCTCACTCTGCTGCCCAGGCTGGAGTGCAGTGATGCGATCATGGCTCACTTCAGCCTTGACCTCCCAGGGCTCAGGTGGCCCTCCCACCTCAGGCCCCTGAGGTTGCAGGCCTACAGGCATGCAACAGCATGCATGGCTAATTTTTGTTTGTTTTTTTTTCTTTTTTTGGTTGAGACGAGGTTTCACCATGTTGGCCAGGCTGGAAAACTTCCAAACTTCCAAATATTTTGGATATTTCAGTTTAAGAAAAGGATACTGTTTTCCTCCATATTTTCTAAAGAGAGAACTTGTTTAAGCAAATTAGTGGTTGAAATAATGTTGTAAGGAGATATTTACTTAGAAGAACTTAAACAGATTTTTGGAAATATTTAGTTATAAAAAAACAACAAATGGCCTTGTATATGAGGTTAGCATTATTTAGACTAGTACACAGTAAGATAGTACTTTTCCAAGGTAACATGGAATATTTTCATATATAAGGGATATATCTGTTACATTAGGCAAATATTTTAAATATGTATTACATATTATATATCTATTACTCCATATACATTCTAATAGAGAATTCTAAAAAGTTAAATAAAACCTTAGTGATTCTACAAATAAAGGAATTAAATAATTTATTAAAGCTTACCAATACTGTCTACTATGGAAATAAGCAGCACAACCTCAACTTAAATGTGCAAACTCAGATACCGTATCTGGCCCTCTGCAATATCTTTCATGAGCACAATCTTTAATTGATGTTCAGTAAAGGGAGATATTGTTCCACTTTTGGCTCACAGCCCTTAAGAAATCATTCTGAAAAAGTGTTGTGCTGTGACCCAACACTTTTTATTGAACTGCCAGTTCATGTGTGAGAGGTCCTTCTGTTTGCCCTTCAATGTCCTGGGGTTTAAAGGATAGCAAAAGCCTGACTTAATCACCAGGCCTGCAGCATGGCCACAGTGCAGAAGGACCATCTTTCTCCACCACTCTAATGTTCACAGTTCCTTTTGAGATGCATTGGTTCCCAGAGGTGTATTCTTCAGTATAAGCTGGCTTGGGTCTCGCTGAGCACTTATTGTCCTTTTCCTTTAGTATCTCTTCAACTCTGAAGAAAATACTTTGCTCAGCAGCTAATCTGCTTTCCCTCATTGCCTTGATATCATGCACAAAGAAAAAAAAACTTCTTAAAATCCTTTTACAAAACTTTGTCCATGGTAATAGAGTCTTTGACAACTCTTCACCACTGGGCAAGTGCAGGCTTTCTTTGGCACTTCACATTTTTCTGAGGGTCATAATTCCTGCAAATAGTCATACACGCAGGTTAACCATGCTTTCAACTTTCACTGAAGTTCTGTCCATTGATAGGTGAATTAATTTTTCACTATTAGAACATTCACTTTTGGTGGATTTGCCAGTGCTCAAGTGATTGAGTTGTGGACTTCTACATTCTACACTTTAATTTATTCTATGCTTGTATTTTTAGACAACAATCACTTAAGAATTTTTATTTTCATTTTATTATATTTGCTAGCAGTTAACCTTTTCTGATAAACTTTTCTGATTTTATACAAAAACCAAAGCTAAGAAAAAAAAGAAAAGAAGAAATCAATCCCTCAAGAGCATTACTGTGCTTGAAATTATAGGCTGAAAGCAACAAAATAGGACGCTGAGTGTGATGGAGACCCAGGCTTACGTGCTATTCAAATAGCTTGCTCTTGCCTGTCCAAGAGAGATCAGGTCCCTGCTTTTGTTAAATCGTGAATGACTCCACATTCTGAATCTGTAGGGTTGTTTTTAAATTGTTGAATTTAAAAATAATTTAAACATCATGAAACAATTTAAAAACATGAATTTAAAACATGAATTTAAAAACAATTTAAACATCAATTTAAAAACAATCGTGAAAGATAAACCTTGCTTTGCCCCAGTTCCAGATATTAAATGTTCTGCATAACAATGAAAATTGTGTTTAAAATGTTTTACAAATTTTATTCAATTATTGTTTTAAAGTAAAGTTTTTTAGTATGTGGCGAAATAAATACTTGTAGGTACATTTAGTTTGTTAAAAGAAAAACTTTAGAGAAAAAGTTAACAGGGTTTATTTGAGCAAAGGATAATTCGTGAATCAGGCAGCACTTAGAACCAGAAGTGGTTCAGTGAGCTCTGCCCAGTAGTGTCAGCAGTGATCTTTTATAGACTGAATACAAGCATAGAAAAAACAAAAAAAAAAAAACTGGAAAAATCACTTGATTAGGTACAAGTAGGAATCTGCATTATTCGGGCATAGTGTGATAAGGCATTTGCCTTTTTTGGGCATGATGCAATAAGGCATTTGCTTTATTTGGGCAAGTTCTAATCAGTTGGTTGCCTGCTGTTAGCTGAATCTTGACTGTTTGCAATGGGCTGAATTGCAAACAGGGCTGTAACTATGTGTAACTATTTGTTACAAAAAATATACTCCTAAATTACATTGTGGTTTGTTTACCTACTAAGTTAGGTGGAGTTTGTTTGTAGGAACTCAAAGTAGGAGACAGCCTCAGGTTAATGTCCTCTTGCTTATGTAATTTAATGAGTTTATATGCAGTGAAGCCTGGTTTTCCTTAAGGTTTGTGTTTTATAGAAGAATGGAGCTCCTAGAAAATAAGAAACCTATCTTTCTGTAATTAAGTGAGATGTATTTTTTCCACTTGCATTCTTCTCATAGAGACATGATTATAGAAAAATAATCAATCTGTGATGATGATCTCTGAGCTGAATATTAACATCTTTTAAAATGGATTTTTCAGATCTTTAATTGGCAACTGATAGTATTTGGCTTTGTGATGAACTTTTGGATGGACATCATTTAATTCTTACCAATTTGTTTTATTTTCCAAATATTGTCTTATCAACATTGTTTGTACTAAGTCATTAATTTTTTAGTAGATACAGATTTTAACTTTGACTTCAGCCTTAAATGAAATTGTCTATACAGCGTTTTTTTTCCCCAAATGCTGATTTAAACTTTTTATTGAAGATATCACTAAAAAATTATCTTCTTATTTGGATTAATTGCTCAATACATTTTGTTAGGTGAGTTTCCAGTTACATTTTTAAAGGTTTTATGAAAGGCATTCTGTGATATGGAATATTATATGAAATGATCAAATGTAGTAGGGTTTATACTTAATTTTACAAAATTTAAATGCCTACCCACATTTAGTGATTAATTTAATGCATTAGTTTTAAGTACAACATGTATCATGAATAGTTTTTGTTGAATAGTGCCCAATACCCTTCCTTTTATTTGATTTTTAAATGGTGTATACTTTTTAAAAAGTAAAATACCCAATATAAATATAAATTTTGTGCAACATTTATATTGAGCTAGTTCATTACAGTCCAATAAATCCTCAAATAGGAAAAGAGTAACTCATTTAAAAATGACTGCTGCTTTACCTGTTTTTTATGTTTAAAGGTAAAAAAGGTAAGCCTAAATTCCATCTATAAAAGTGCCTTTTTGATGTGTTTTATACACTTCTCTGCATCTCAGATCCTTTTAATGTTTTCAGAAAATGTACTGAACGACCAGATGTTGGAATTTGAGTTACCTGGAATTCTCTTGTTGACAGTTTATAAACATAACTTGCATTTTTCTTAAAGTCACATGATATATTTGTTTTACTTCCTAAGATCTAATGTATAGAAAGGCACAGCAACTTAATTTCAGTAGTGATTATTTAGAGCTATAGCATCTGAATATAAATAAGAAAAAATGTGGTTATTCTGCTGAACTTATAACATCACCATTCATCTGTAAATGAGAAGGTTGGGAGATTTTGTTTCCTCCATTGACTTAACCTAACATTGTCTGTTCATTATCTTCTTTACTTAATATTTGTTTGTGTACTTTTGAGGAACAGAATTCCAGAGGCCAAATAAAATAAAAGCTTATCTATTAGTCAGGATTTTCCAGAGAAACAGAACCAATAAAGAACAAAATAGAGGCATCATGCTACCTGACTTCAAACCATACTACACGGCTACAGTAACCAAAACGGCATGGTACTGGTACCAAAACAGATATATAGATCAATGGAACAGAACAGAGACCTCAGAAATAACACCACATATCTACAACAATCTGATCTTTGACACACCTGATAAAAACAAGCAATGGGGAAAGGATTCCCTATTTAATAAATGGTACTGGGAAAACTGGCTAGCCATAGGCAGAAAACTGAAACTGGACCCCTTCCTTACACCTTATACAAAAATTAACTCAAGATGGATTGAAGACTTAAATATAAAACCCCAAACCATGAAAATCCTAGAAGAAAACCTAGGCAATACCATTCAGGACATAGGCATGGGCAAAGACTTTATCACTAAAACACCAAAAGCAATTGCAACTAAAGCAAACATTGACAAATGGAATCTAATTAAACTAAAGAGCTTCTGCACAGCAAAAGAAACTGTCATCAGAGTGAACAGGCAACCTACAGAATGGGAGAAAATTTTGACAATCTATCCATCTGACAAAGGGCTAATATCCAGAATCTACAAAGAACTTAAACAAATTTACAAGAAAAAAACAAACCCCATCAAAAAATGGGTGAAGGATATGAACAGATACTTCTCAAAAGAAAACATTTTTGTGGCCAACAAACATATGAAAAAAAACTCATCATCACTGTTCATTAGAAAAATGCAAATCAAAACCACAATGAGATACCATCTCATGCCAGTTAGAATGGTGATTATTAAAAAGTTAAGAAACAACAGATGCTGGTGAGGCTGTGGAGAAATAGGAACTCTTTTACACTGTTGGTGGGAGTGTAAATTCATTCAACCACTGTGGAAAACAGTGTGGTGATTCCTCAAGGATCTGGAACCAGAAATACCATTTGACCCAGCAATCCCATTACAGGTTATATACCCAAAGGATTATAAATCATTCTACTATAAAGACACATGCACATGTATGTTTATTGCAGCACTGTTTACAATAGCAAAGACTTGGAACCAACTCAAATGCCCACCAATGATAGACTGGATAAAGAAAATGTGGCCATGATTCTGAGCAAACTATCGCAAGGACAGAAAACCAAACACCGCATGTTCTCACTCATAGGTAGGAATTGAACAATGAGAACACTTGGACACAGGGTGGGGAACATCACACACTGGGGCCTGTCGTGGGGTGGGGGGAGGGGGAGGGATAGCATTAGGAGATATACCTAATGTAAATGATGAGTTGATGGGTGCAGCACACCAACATGGCACATGTATACATATGTAACAAACCTGCATGTTGTGCATATGCATGTACCCTAGAACTTAAAGTATAATTAAAAAAAAAAGAAAATGTGGCACATATACACCGTGGAATACCATGCAGCCATAAAAAGGATGAGTTCATGTTCTTTGCAGGGACATGGATGAAGCTGGAAGCCATCATTCTCAGCAAACTGACACAGGAACAGGAAACCAAACACCGCAGTGAGTTGAACAGTGAGAACACATGGAGACAGGGAGGGGAACATCACACACCGGGGCCTGTTGCAGGGCGGAGTGCAACAGGAGGGAGAGCATTAGGAAAAATACCTAATGCATGCGGGGCTTAAAACCTAGATGACAGGTTGACAGGTGCAGCAAACCACCATGGCACATGTATAACTATGTAACAAGCCTGTACATTCTGCACATGTATCCCAGAACTTAAAGTAAAATTTAAAAAATTGAAAAAAAAGAGATTAAATATATACATATGTGTATATTTATGTATTATGTATACTATATGGAGATATTTACTTAATATATAACACATATATACATAACATAATTTATGCATATATACTATATACATATATAGACATATACATATGTTAACTATATGTGATATATTACATATATGATGTATATACATATATAGTGTATATATACAATATACATGCATATACATATATACAATATAATATGATGTATTATATAAAAATATATAGGCACTATATATGTATATTGTATATAGTGCATATATACATATATTTTTATTGTATATAATGTGTATATATACAATATACATATATGATGTAAATATATAAAATATATGCCTATATACACTAAATGTGTATATTGTATACATACACACATATATGATGTATATATAAAATACATGTATATATACACTATATATGTTTATTGTATAGTATATCTATGTATAGGTACATGTATACTATACATAAACATATATTACATGATATAGTAATATATTGATGTATATGTATATATCATATATTTAATATATCAGTATATTACTATATCAATATATACACATGCTGTATATATGCATATATACACATACATATATGTATACAATGTATACATACATATATAGATATACATACATATGTTATGTATGTATATATAAACACAGGCATTCCTGAGAGATATTGTGGATTTGATTTCAGAGCATCACAATAAAGCAAATATCACAATAAAGTGAGTTACACAATTTTTTTAGTTTCCCAGTGCATATAAAAGTTATGTTTACATTATGTTGTAGTCTATTAAATATGCAATAGCATTATATCTAAAAAAAAGTATGTACCTTAAGTAACAATACTTTATTGCTAAAAAATGCTAGTGATCTTCTGCGCCTTCAGTGAGGTGTAACCATTTTGCTGGTGGAGATTCTTGTCTGTATGTTGATGGCTGCTGACTGATTAGGATGGTAGTTGCTGAACATTGAGGTGGCTGTGACAGTTTCCTAAAAGAAGAAAATAATGAAGTATGCTGCATTGATTAACTCTTCCTTTCATGAAAGATTTGTGTGTAGAAATCTCTGATGGCATTTTACCTACAGTAGACCTTCTTTCAAAATTGGAGTCAATCTTCTCAAAGCCTACTGTTGCTTTATCAGCTAAGCTTATGAAATGTCCTACATTCTTTGTTGTCCTTTCAACAATGTTCACAGCATCTTCACAGGATTACATTTTATCTCTAAGAAACTACTACTTTCTTTGCTCATCCATAAGAAGCAAATCCTAATCCATTCAAGTTTGATTGTGAGATTGCAACAATTCAGTCACATCATTGGGCTTCACTCGTAATTCTGGTTTTCCTGTTCTTTGTATCACATCTGCAGTTACATCTTCCACTAAAGTCTTCAATCCTTAAAGTCATCCATGAGGGTTGGAATCAGCTTCTTCCAAAATCTTGTTAACGTTGACATATTGATCTCATTCTATGAATCACGAATGGTTTTTTTTAATGACATGAAGAATGGTGAATCCTTTCCAGAATGTTTTAAATTTACTTTACCCAGTTGCATCCTAGGAATCATGATCTGTAGCAGCCATTGCCTTACAAAAATGTATTTCTTAACTAATAAGAATTGAAAGTTGAAATAACTCCTTGATCCATGGGTTGCAAGATAGATGCTGTGTTAGCAGGCATGGAATCAACATGAATCTTCCTGTATATACCCATCAGAGCTCTTGGGTGATTAGGTGCATTGTTAATAAACAATAATATTTTGAAAGGAATCTTCTGAACAATGTATCTCAATACTGGGCTCAAAATATCCAGTAAACTATGCTGTAAACTAACATGCCATCATGAGGATTTTTGTTCTTCCATTTACAGAGCAAAAGCAGAGTACACTTAACATAATTCTTAAGGGGCCTAGGATTTGTGTCATCATAAATAAGCATTAGCTTCAACTTCTAGTCACCAGCTGCATTAACCCTTAACAAAAGAGTCAGGCTGTCCTTCAAAGCTTTGAAGCTAGGTATTGACTTCTCTGCAGCTATGAAAGTCCTAGGTGACATCTTCTTTCAATAGAAGGCTGTTGTTTTCTATGTGGAAAATGTGTTGTTTAGCGTGGCCACCTTGTTCTGTGACCTTAGCTAGCTAGATCTTCTCAACAACTTGCTGCAGCTTCTACATCAAGCACTTGGTGCTTCACCTTGCTGTTTTTTGTTATGGAGATGGCTTCTTTTCTTAAACCACACGAGCCAACCTTTGCTAACTTCCAGCTTTCCTTCTGCAACTTCCTCACCTCTCTCAGCCTTAATGTAATTGAAGGGAGTTAGGATTAACTCTGGATTAGGGTTTGGATTAACTCTTTTTCAGTTTGCCTTAAGAATACTCACCAGTGGCACTTGTGGCTGCAGCATTTACCCCAAAATAACTTTGCCAAGAAATATCTCACTTTTATTATTATTTTTGCATCACTCTAGTACATCAACTTTGGAAACAAAAGACATCATTCTACTTATAACATTCTGTTTTTAGTAGTGGTATTTCCATTGACAAAATGTAGTAATTTTCGATCACTGAAAATGTCAAATCCTAGAAAACGCAGCATTTCTATGCGTAATGTTAACATCTTTCTTGAACAGTTATTGGCCGGATTCATTTGATGAATTCAATTTTTCTGAAATAGATGATTCTGATGTTAGTTCTGTTTAGAAATAACTCCAAGAACAGTTTTTATATTTTATTTTCACACTAAAAATCAGTCAGATTTGCTTCAGCCTCAAAGAGTGTGTTTATGTAAATTTAAATGAGTGCTGGCAGAAAGCTGCACCTTTTTTTTTTTTCTTTCTAAATGGGAAAATTTAAGCAAATGTTGTGGCTGGTTTGACCTTCTATTCAGACTGCTAAAACTTTCTTCAAATCAGCAGTAAGGCTGTTTAACCTTCTTATTTTTCAAGTGTCCACTGTAGCAGCACTTTTAATTTCCTTTAAGAACCTTTCCTTTGCATTCACAGCTTGGTTAACTGTTTGGGACAAAACTGTTTGGTATAGCTCAGCTTTCAACATGCCCTCCTCACTAAGCTTAATCATTTCTAGCTTTTGATTTTAAAGTGAGAGGTACGTGCCTCTTCCTTTTACTTGAATACTGAGAGGCCACTGTAGGGTTATTAATTGACCCAATTTTAATATTGTTGTATCTCAGAGAATAGGGGGACTCAAGGAGAGGATGAGAGATGGGGGAATGAGTAGAGCTGTCAGAACACACAACTGATCAATTAAGTTTGCTGTCTTACATGGGTGCACTTCATGGCATCCCAAAACAATTACAATCGCAACATCAAAGATCACTGATCACAGATCACCATAGCATATATAATAATAATGAAAATGTTTAAAATATTTCAAATGTTACCAAAATGTGACACAGAGACATGAAGTGAGCACATGCTGTAGACTTGCTCAATGCAGTGTTGTCACAAATCTTCAATTTGTAGAAATCCCATCTGCGAAGAGCAATAAAATGAAGTGCAATAAAACAAGGTGTGCCTGTATATAAAAATTAGAAATTGGCTTCTGTGATTACAGAGGTTGAGAAGTCCCACAATCTGCAATCTGCAAGCTAGAGAACCAGGAAAGCTGGTGGTATAATTCAGTTGAAGTGAAAGCCTGAGAGCCAGGGGCACTGATGTCTGAGGGCAGAAGAAGATGGGTGTCCAAGCTGAAACAGAGTGAATTTGCCTTTTCTTTGCCTTTTTGTTCCACTGGGCCCTCCCTCAATAGATTGGATGGTGCCCACTCACACTGGTGCGGGTGATCATTTTTACTCAGTCAACCAATTAAAATTCTAATCTCATCTAGAAACACCCTCACAAACACACCCAGAAGCAATGTTTAACAGCTATCTGGGCATCCATTTGCCCAAACTGTTCATTTGTGACAAATTAGCCATCACAAGTCTGCCCCTTGTCAACTTAGCACACATATACATCTCCTTAAATCAAATTTAATCTTCAAATAAAGATAATAACAAGGTCATAATTCTACCTAATATGATACAAGTATCCTGTGTAGAAACAAAAACATACTAATCCTTTCTTTAGATGAGGAGGTAAGTCCTTTAGTGATGTTTACTCTTCTTTTGATATCCCTTTACTTAAATATTATCATGTAAAATTAACAATAGAGTCATTCCTCAGTATCCATGGGGGATTTGTTCCAGGAGCTCCTATGAATAACAAATCTGCAGGTGTCAAGTCCCTGACTGAAAATGGTGTAATATTTGCTTATAACCTATTCATGTCCTCTCATTTAATTTAAATAATCTCTAGATTACTTATAATACTTAACACATACAATGTAAATGCTATGTGAATAGTTGTTACACTGAATTGTTTAGGAAATAATCACAAGAAAAAAATCTGTGTATGTTCAGTACAGGTGCTTTTTTTCTCCAAAATATTTTCTATTTGTTGTTGGTTGACCCCGTGGATGGTAACGTGTGGATACAAAGGACTGGCTGTGCTTAAATACTGATATGCATCTTATGTTAATACATATTGACTTAACATAAGTTATGTAACATCTTATGTTAATGATAAGGAAATAGAAAAGAAAACAAAGATAGTTTGTTAATACAGGTATATTTACATGCAAACATATTCATAAAAATTAAGGAGGAAATACACATAACGATTAAATCCTCATTTTTTTTACTTTGGAAGAGTTCTTATACGTATGTTGCTTTTATTTATTATTACCTTTAATGGCAAAAACCGCGATTACTTTTGCACCAACCTAATATTTAAAAAAAAAACTCTTTTGGCCGGGCACAGTGGCTCACGCCTGTAATCCCAGCACTTTGGGAGGCTGAGGCTGGCAGATCACCTGAGATCAGGAGTTTCAGACCAGCCTGACCAACATGGAGAAACCCCGTCTCTACCAGAAATACAATATTAGCCAGGCGTGGTGGCACATGCCTGTAATCCCAGCTACTTGGGAGGCTGAGGCAGGAGAATTGCTGGAATCTGGGAGGTGAAGGTAGCAGTGAGCCGAGATCGCACCATTGCACTCCAGCCTGGGCAACAAGAGCGAAACTCTGTCTAAATAAATAAATAAATCAAATAAGATAAAATAACTCTTTCTGTTTTAAAATATTATCATTTGGCAAACTGAAAATGATCCCATAACTGGCCACCCTGAGAGATCTTTTTGTTATAGCATCTACTACAAGTGAATGATCATCAAATTAGTAATGTGAAAAATTGGTTTTACCCAAAGAAGAATCTGAATTTTTGTATAGGAGCTATCATTTTTAAATTTTTAATTTAATTTTTGTGAGTACATAGTAGGTGTATGTATTGATGGGGTATATGAGATGTTTTGATACAAGCACACAATGTGTAATAATCACATCATGAAGAATAGGGTATCCATCCCCTCAAACATTTATCCTCTGTTACAAACAATCCAATTATACTCTTTTAGTTATTTTAAAATGTATAATTATTATTGACTGTAGTCATCCTGTTGTGGTATCAAATAGTAGGCCTTATTCATTCTTCTAATTTTTTGTACCCATTAACCATCCCCACCACCCCTCCAGCCCTAACTATCTTTCAACCGTTCTTCCAGTCTCTATGTCCATGAGTTCAATTGTTTCGATATTTAGATCCCACAAATAAGTGAGAACATGAGATGTTTGTCTTTCTGTTCCTGGCTTATTTTACTTAATATAATTATCTCTAGTTCTACCCATGTTATTGTAAATGACAGGATCTCATTCTTTTTTATGGCTGAATAGTATTCCATTGTGTATATGTTCCACATTTTCTGTATCCTTTCATCCATTGGTGAACACTTAGGTTGCTTCCAAATTTTAGCTATAGTAAACAATGCTGCAATAAACATAGGAATATGTTTTTCATGTAAGTAAGTCTTTGATTTACTGATTTCCTTTCTTTTGGATATATGCTCAGCAGTGGGATTTCTGGGTCATATGATAGCCCTATTTTTAGTTTTTTGAGGAACCTCCAAACTATTCTCCATAGTGGTTGTACTAATTTACATTTCCACCAATAGTGTACAAGTGTTCCCTTTTCTCCACATCCTCACCAGCGTTTGTTATTGCCTGTCTTTTGGATAAAAGCCATTTTAACTGGAATGAGATGATATCTCTTTGTAGTTTTTATTTGCATTTCTCTGATGATCGATGATGTTAAGCACCTTTTCATATGCCTCTTGCCATTTGTATGTCTTCTTTTGAGAAATGTCTACTCAAATATTTTGCCTATTTTTCACTTGGATTATTAATTTTTTTTCCTGTAGAGTTGTTTGAGATCCTTATGCATTTTAGTTATTAATCCCTTGTCAGATGGGTAGTTTGCAAATATGTTTTCCCATTCTGTGGGTTGTCTCTGCTTTGTTGATTGTATCCTTTGCTGTGCAGAAGATTTTTAACTTGATGTGATCCCACTTGTCCATTTTTGCTTTGGTTGCCATACTTGTGGGGTATTACTCGAGAAGTCATTGGCCAGACCAATGACCTGAAGAGTTTACCAGTGTTTTTTTTGTAGTAGTTTCATAGTTGGAGGTCTTAGATTTAAGTCTTTAATCCATTTTGGTTTGATTTTTATATATGGCAAGACGTAGGGGTCTAGTTTCATTCTTCTGCATTTGGATATGCAATTTACCCAGAAGGATTTATTGAATAGATTGTCTTTTCTCCAGTGTATGTTCTCTGGGGAAAAAGACTTTGTAAAAATGAGTTCACTGTAGGTGTGTGGGTTTGTTTCTGGTTTTCCTATTCTGCTCCATTGGTCTATGTGTCTCTTTTTATGCCAATACCATGCGATTTTGGTTACTGTAACTCTGTAGTGTAATTTGAAGTCAGATACTATGATCCCTCCAGTTTTGTTCTTTTTGCTCAGGATAGCTTTGGCTATTCTGAGTTTTTTGTTGTTCCATAAAAATTTTAGGATTGTATTTTCTATTTCTGTGAAGAATGTCACTGGTATTTTGATAGGGATTGCACTGAATCTGTAGTTTGCGTTGGTTAGTATGGACATTTTAATAATACTGATTCTTCCTATTCAGGAACATGGAATGTCTTCCATATTTTTGTGTCCTCTTCAATTTTACTCATTAGTATTTTATAGTTTTCATTATAGACATCTTTTACTTTGGTTAATTCATAGTTATTTAATTTTATTTGTGGCTATTGTCAATGGAATTACTTTTTTGATTTCTTTCCGAGATTGTTCACTGTTAGCATATAGAAATGCTACTGGTTTTTGTAGGTTGATTTTGTATCCTGCAACTTGACTGAATTTGTTTATCTATTCTAATAGTTTTTTGGGGGAGTTTTTAGGTTTTTCTAAATATAAGATCATATCATCTGCAAACAAGGATAATTTCATTTCTTTCTTTCCAGTTTGGATACCCTTTAGGTCTTTGTCTGATTGCTCTAGGTAGGCTATAGCCTGTGTTTTCTCAAAGCCCTGGGGCTCCACAATCAGAAGGTGGCAAGCTGGACAGGTCGGTGTCTTTTCCTTTAGGATAGCAAGCTCCCTCAGGTTCTGTGTTAATCTGGAGGTGCTATCTGATCTGGGAGCCAGGGACTAGAGTCAGAAACCTTAGAAGTCTCTCTGATGAAGTCTCTCTGGTGTTCTTTCATACTGTGGCTGAGCTGGCACTCAAACTACAAGACACAGTTCCTCCCACTCTTCCCTCCCCTTTCCAAAGGCAGAGGAGCCTCACCCCGTGGTCAATGCCGTCAGTACTATGTTAAATAACAGTGGTGAAAGTGGGCATCCTTGTCGTGTTCCAGATCTTAGAGGAAAGGCTTTCAGTTTCTCCCCATTCAGTATGTTAGTAGCTGTGGGTCTGCTGTATATGGCTTTTATTATGTCGAGGTGTGTTCCTTACATACTCAGTTATTTGAGGGTTTTTATGACGTGAGATTGAATTTTATCAAATGGTTTTTCAGCATCATTTGAAATTATCATGTGGTTTCTGTCTTTCATTCTGTTGATATGATGTATCACATTGATTGATTTGTATATGTTGAACCATTCTTGCTTGCCAGGGATAAATTCTATTTGGCCATGATGAATGATCTTTTTAAGGTATTCTTGAATTTGGTTTGCTAGTATTTTGTTGAGGATTTTTGCATGGATATTCATCAGAGATGTGGACCTGTAGTTTTCTTTTTTTGATGTGTCTTTTTCTGGTTTTGGTATCAGGGTGATACTGGCCTTATAAAATGAGTTTGGGGGTATTCCCTCCTCCTCTATTTTTCAGAATAGTTTGAGTAAGATAGGTATTAGTTCTTTAAATGTTTGGTAGAATTCAGCAGTGAAGTCATTGGGTCCTGGCATTTTCTTTGCTGCAAGACTTTTTATTATGGCTTTGGTCTTGTTTCTTGTTATTGGTCTGTTCACGTTTTAGATTTCTTCATGGATCTACCTTGGTACATTGTTTGTATTTAGGAATTTGTTCATTTTTTCTAGATTTTAAAATTTATTTGCATATAGTTGCTAATAATAGCCACTAATGATCCTTTGAATTTCTGCAGTGTCAGTTGTGATGTTTCCTTTTTCATCTCTGATTTTATTTATTTAGATCTTCTCTCTTTTATTCTTAGTCTGTCTAAAGGTTTATCAATTTTGTTTAACTTTTCAAAAAACCAACTTTTTGTTCCATTGATCTTTTGTATTGTTGTGTTCATTTCAATTTCATTTATTTATGCTCTGATCTTTATTATTATTTTTCTTCTGCTAATTTTGGGTTTGTTTTACTCTTGCTTTTCTAATTCTTTAACATGCATTGTTAGGTTGTTTATTTGAAGTTTTTCTCCTTTTTTTTTAACAGGCAGTTATAGCTGTAAACTTCCCTCTTAGTACTGCTTTTGCTGTATCCCCTAGGTTTTGATATTTTATGTTTTTGTTATTATTTGTTCCAATTTTTTTCTCAATTTCCTTCTTAATTTCTTCCTTGACCCACTGGTCATTCAGGAGCGTATTGTTTAATTTGCTGGTATTTTTTACAAAATCCTTACGTGATTTCTAGTTTTATTCCACTGTGATTAAAGAAGATACTTGCTATTATTTTAATTTTTTTAGTATTTTAAGACTTGTTTTGTGACCTAACATATGGTCTACCTTTGAGAATGATCCACATGCTGAGGAAAATAATGTGTATGTTGCAGCTCTTGGGTGAAATGTTCTGTAAATATCTATTAGGTCCATTTGGTGTATACTGCAGAATAAGTCCAATGTTTCCTTGTGGATTTTCTGTCTGGAAGATCTGTCCAATGCTGAAAGTGTGGTGTTGAAGTCTCTAGCTATTATTGTATTGGAGTCTATCTCTTATTTTAGTGCTAATAATATTTGCTTTATATGTCTGGGTGCTCCACTGTTGGGTGTACATATTTTTAAAATTGTTATATCCTCTTGCTAATTGACCCCTTTATTATTATATCATGACCCTCTTTGTCTCTTATAGTTTTTGTCTTGAAATCGCTTTTGTTTGATATAAGTATAGCTATTCCTGCTCTTTTTTGGTTTCCATTGTCATGGAATATCTTTTCTCCTCTCTTTATTTTCAGTCTATGTGTTTCTTTACAGGTGAAGTATGTTTCTTATAGGAAACAGATCATTGGTCTTTTTTTTTAAATCCATTCAGCCACTCTATGTCTTTTTGACTGGAGGATTTAGTCTATTTACATTCATTATTATTATTGATAAGTAAGGACTTACTCTTGCCATTTTGTTATTTGTTTTCTGATTGTATTGTAGTCTTTTCTTTCTTCTTTCCTTCCTGTCTTGCTTTTAGTGAAGGTGATTTTCTCTGGTGATATGATTTAGTTTTTTGCTTTCTTATGTATTTGTTGTATTTTTTTTTTTTGGTTTGAGGTTACCAAGAGTCTTGTAAACACTATTTTGTAACTCATTATTTTAAGCTGATAATAACTTGACACTGTTTGTATAAACAAACAACAGGGGAGCAAAAAAAAAAAAAAAACTCATGAAGACTCTACACCTTAACTTTGTTTTTCCATTTTTTAACTTTATGTTGTTTCTATTTATATCTTATTCTACTGTCTATGTCTTGAAAAGTTGTTGTAATTATTTTTAATTGGTTTATCATTTAGTTTCTCTACTTAAGATAAGAGTAGTTTATATACCATAGTTACAATATTATAATAGTTTGCATTCTTTCTCTGTACTTACTATTACCAGTGAGTTTTATACAGATGATTCTTTATTGCTCATTAACCTCCTTTTCTTTCTGATTGAAGTACTCTCTTTAGCATTTCTTGTAGGATGGGTCTGATGTCGATAAAATTCCTCAGCTTTTATTTGTCTGGAAAAGCCTTTATTTCTCCTTCATTACTGAAGAATATTTTTGCTGTATATACTATTCTAGGGTAAAAGCTTTTTTCTTCCAGCACTTTTAATATATCATGCCACTCTCTTGGCCTGTAAGGTTTTCATTGAAAAGTCTGCTGCCAGCTGTAGTGGAGCTCCATTGTATGTCATTTGTTTATTTTCTTTTGATGCTTTTTAGGATCTTTTCTTTATTCTTGACCTTTGGGAGTTTGATTATTAAATGCCTTGTGGTAGTCTTTGTTAGGTTAAATCTGCTTAGTGTTCTATAACCTTCTTATTCTTGGATATTGTTTCTTTGAGTTTGGGAAGTTCTCTATTATTATCCCGTTGAATAATCTTTATACCCTATCTCTTTCTCTACCTCCTCATTAAGGCCAATATCTCTTAGATTTTCCCTTTTGAGGCTATTTTCTAGATCCTATAGGTGTGCTTCATTGTTTTTTATTTTTTTTGGTTGTCTTTTCTGTGTATTTTCAAATAGCTGGTCTTCAGGCTCACTAATTCTTTTTTTCTGCTCCATAAATTCTGCTATTAAAAAACTCTAATGCATTCTTTAATGTGGCAATTGCATTTTTCAGCTCCAGAATTTCTGCTTGATTCTTTTTAATTATTTCAATCTCTTTGTTAAATTTATCTGATAGAATTCTGAATTCCTTCTCTGTGTTATCTTTGAATTTCCCCAACACAGCTATTTTGAATTCTCTGTCTGAAAGGTCGCATATCTCTGTTTCTCCAGGGTTGGCCCCTGGTGCCTTATTTAGTTCATTTAGTGAGGTCATGTTTTCCTGGACGATATTGATGCTTGTAGATGTTCATCTGTGCCTGAGAATTAAAGAGTTAGGTATTTATTGTAGTGTTCTCAGTCTGGACTTGTTTGTACCCAGGCTTCTAGGGAAGGCTTTCCAGATATTCCAGATTGGTGGTTGTGATGTAAGCAGTATCTACTTTAGGGGACACTGTGAGCCCAGTAATACTGTGGTTCTTGCAGACTCGCAGAGGTACCTCCTTGATGGTCTTGGACAAGTTCCAGAATAATTCTCTGGATTACCAGGCAGAAACTCCTGTTCTCTTTTTTACTTTCTTCCAAACGTATGCAGTCTCTCTCTCTCTGTTTGAGCCACCTAGAGCTGGGGTTGGGGGTGACACAAGCACTCCTGTGGTCACCACCACTATGACTGTGCTAGGTCAGACCTTCCATAGCCAGTATAGCACTGGGTCTTGCCCAAGGGCTACTGTAATTATTTCCTGGCTATAGCCTGTGTTTTCTCAAAGCCCTGGGGCTCCACAATCAGAAGGTGGCAAACTGGACAGGTCGGTGTCTTTTCCTTCAGGATAGCAAGCTCCCCCAAGTTCTGTGTTAACCTGGAGGTGCTATCTGATCTGGGAGCCAGGGACTAGAGTCAGAAACCTTAGAAGTCTCTCTGATGAAGTCTCTCTGGTGTTCTCTTATGCTGTGGCTGAGCTGGCACTCAAACTACAAGACACAGTTCTTCCCACTCTTCCCTCCCCTTTCCAAAGGCAGAGGAGCTTCACCCCATGGTCACTGCCACCACAGACCCACAGAGGGTACTGCCAGACTACCACTGACATTCCCTTAAAGCCCAAGAGTTCTTCAGTCAACTTGTGGTGAATGCTGCCTGGCCTGGTACTCACCTTTCTGGGCAGTGGGCTTCCCTTTTGGATGCAAGAGCCAAGTCTTGCAACTGGGGACCCCAAGAGCCCACTTGGTGCTCTACCCCCCGTGACTGAGTTGGTACTTAAGGTGCAAGACAAAGTACCCTTTGCTTTTCTCTCCACCTTTCTCAAGTGAAAGGATTCTTGCCCTATAGCTACCACAGCTGGAAATGTGCTGAGTCTCACCTGAAGGCAGCAAGCCTCAGAGTCTTACCAAAGGCCCTTGACATAGTACCTGGGATTCACTGCTGGTTATTCAGGGCCTAAGGTCTCTTCAGCTAGCAGGTGATGAGTCCTGCCAGGACGTGGTCCTTTCCTTTAAGGTAGTGCATTCTCTTCTGGTGCAGTGTGTCTTGAAATGTCATCTGGGAGCTAGGGCCTGGAATGACTCTGACTGGTGCCCTATCCTGCTGTGGCTGAGCTGGTATCCTAGATACAAGACAAAGTTCTCCGCATTCTTCCCTCCCTTCTCCTCAAGCAGAGAGAAGAGGATTTTTTTGGAGCTGTGAGCTGTGCATCCTAGTGTTAGAGAAGAGGTGATGTCAGCACTTCCTTAGCTGCTCCAGCTGGTGTCTCAGTAGGTCATATACCAGCCCACCTCCCCACCCTCCCCACCCAGTTCACTGTCCCTGGGCCTGCCTAGTTCAGCACTAGGACTCACATAGGGGTTACAGTCCTTGAGGCCTAGACTGCCTTTCAAGTTTATTTCGGGCCCCAGAGTACTTTAACTCACAACAGGGAAGCTTTTGGGAACTTAAGTTTAGACTGCTGGGATCAGTGATTTCCCTCTGGCTATGACTGGTTTGAATGCTCCCTCTGTGGGTGGGCATCAGCTGAGTTTGGTCCAGTTTTGTTTTCTGTTATATTAGGGTAGCACTGAGTTCAGTGCCTAACAAATGCTAGGCTCTCCCTCTCTCCAATCGCCAAAACATGCTGTACCATGCTTTTGCTGCCAGGGGATGGAGGACGGATGGCGTCAGTGATTTAAGACTGTTTTTTTTTACCTCTTTAGTGCCTCTTTCAATGATATGAAGTTAAAACCAGGTACTGTGAGTGCTCACCTTTTCCTTTGTTCTTATAGAGTTTGTGTGTGTGTGTGTGTGTGTGTGTGTGTGTGTGTAGATAGTTGTTAAATTGTGTTTGCCACAGGGACGACTGGTAGAACCTTCTCTTCCACCATCTTGCTCTGCCCCAAGTCCCTAAATTTTTCATTTCTGTAACTGGTTGTGTGGTAGTAACTGGTATTTATAATTACCTTATACTGTCCATCCTGTATTTCCTTTGCCTTCAGCAAGAACCTCAGCTGGTTATGGTTCTTTACCTGGGGTGGGTGTGAGGAGTGACTAAAATCTTTATTTCTGAAGGGTCTAGACTATTTGTAGTACTGCCTGGATTGGGTTGTAGTTTTCCATGTACCTTAATCACAGGGCCTGGTAATACTAAGAGATACCCAAAGGAATCTCCTATAATCCAGGCATACTCTCCCTTACCTCCATTATGGAGTCATAGTCCAATGTCTCTTTTGTTGTCAGGACCAATTACCCTACCCAACACCCTTGTCTCTCTTCTTTACCTGTTGATTCAGAGGCATGAGGAGCCCAAAGTTTCCAGTTGGCACTCTTAACTTCCAGTTCAATGGAATGGTTGTTGTGTCTCACAGTTGTAATATTCTCTCTGAAACTGAGACTTCTAGACCAGCAGATTATAAAATCACTGAAACAGAAAGCAAGAACTTTACTAGTGGGTAACTAGGGGTAATACTGACTGGTGTCACTCTCATTTTCACTCTTAATTCCTAGACCCTTGAATCCTGACTATTGGAGAAACAGCACCATATTTTGGATACTGATTCAGACCATATACAGCCTTCTGGAGAATCTTGCCCCAGTCCTGAAAGGTATTTCTATTCATCTAGTTGGTGCTATAACTGAGTCTTCAAAAGACAATTCCACTGTTCTATCAAGAAAGCTGCTTCAGGATGGTGGGAAATATGGTAAGAGCAGTGAATTTCATGAGCATGGGCCTGTTGTCACACATATTTTGCTGGGGATGATTTCCTTGATTGGAAGCAATGCTGTGTGGAATGCCATCATGGTGGATAAGGCCATTATCAAATGCCATAATGGTGGATAAGGAATTATGTAATTCCATGGTTGGTAATTTTGGCATAAGCATGTTATGAAGAGAAGACAAATCCATATCCAGAGTAAGTGTCTATTCTGGTAGGGACAAAATGCTTCCACTTCCACAATTGAAGTGGTCCAATGTAATCAACCTGTCACCAGATAGCTGGCTGATTATCCCTAGAAATGGTGTCATAGTGAGGGCTCCCTGTTGCTCTCTGCTGCTGGCAGATTGGGCACTCAGTGGTGATCCTGGCCAGGTCAGGCTTGGTGAATGGAAGTCATGTTGCTGAGCCCCTGCATGACATCCATCCCTTCCACTATGGTCACTGTGTTCATGAGCCCATTGGGAATGACTGGGGAAAGAGGCTGACTGGTGTCCACAGAAGAGTCATTCTATCTATTCAATTATTAAAATCTTCCTCGGTTGTGTTCACTTTTTGGGTAGCATTCATATGGGGCACAAATATCTTCACATTTTTGCTCATTCAGAGAGATCTATTCACATACCTATTCCTCAGATTTCTTTGTCATAAATTTTCCAATCACGTTATTTCCAAGTGCCTGAATCTGTATATAACTGCACATCTGGCCAGTTTTCCTTTCAACCAAAGATCACAAGTAGGTGCACTTCCCAAAGTTCTGTCCCATGGGAGGATTTCCCTTCACCACTGCTCTTCAGTGATGTGTCAGAAAGGGGCCGTAGTGCTGCAGATATTTTCTTCTGGGTGGTGGCCACATATCATGTAGAACTGCCTGTAAACTTGGCCTCAGTCTTCTTTTTCTCTGTCAACTGATCTTAGAGAACCATCCATGAAGCCATAGGTGTAGGCTGAGAGAGAGAAAGGAGTGTAGCAGGAGTGTGGACCATGGGCATTTGCCATATCAATAGCTGCATACCAGGTACTGGGGAATGTGTGCATATAATAATGTTTCAAATTCAATAATATAAAGATAGACAACATTAAGTGCCTAGGCATTATTCTAAACACTTGATTGGTATTAAATCACTAATCTTTTACTGACAACCATGTGAAATATATCCTATCATTATCCCCAATATATTGGTAACAAAACTGAGTGTCAGAGTGATTAAATAACTACTTAACGTCAGACAGCTGGTAAATGGTAGAACTGGGTTTCAAGCCCTGTGTTTCTGGCTCATTGTTTGAGTTCTTAAACACTGTCTTTTGTCTTCCCATACTGTATGCCTACTTATAATAATGCTCAATTAACAGAAGACCAATAGATGAGATTCCCCAACCAACAGGAATGATGTTGAACCTAATTAATTTTCAAGACAATAGGTAAGGTTAGTTTGAATCAGTGATTTAGTAGAAGACACTTTTCTGACTAAATCCTTAGGTTGAACATTCGCCCCAATGGTATCATAAATGTGGTTAAAACTTAGAGTCAGAATAAATGTTTGGAATATAGTCATTGGTTGACGTTATGTTTTTGGAAAACAATTTAACTATTCAAAACCCCATTTTTTTCACCTATAAAATGGGAATGAGAGCTTTCATGTCTCTCTGATAGATTTCTCTCAAAGACGAAGTGAAATAGCACTGGTGAAAGCCCTTTGCAAACTGCATAGCACCCTACATCATTGTCTTCAACAATATAATAAAAATGATATTGATACAAAATTCCAAGATACATATGGATGGTATATAATTCTCCAAATGTAGAGTTGATACTTGCCTCTGACATTGCCTGGCACCTGCTCTTCCCTTTGGAATATTATGCTACTCTCTCATTAACCAAAACTACACCTATTTTTGTCCCTATATGTTCCAAAGCCTTCTGGTCAGCTTCACTGTTGCTTTCAATTACCTAAAACTGGACATTTTTAGTGCTGAAATCAACATCTCTTTCCTAAAACAATTCATTCAGTCTCTAATTCAATTGATGGTACCAAAAACCAGTCAAGAAAGCCATAAAGCTCTGTCACTCTTCCCATTCCCTCACCCCTGCTCCAATCAGTTACTTATCCAGCTGATTTTTGCATGACAAATATTTCTTAAACTATTCCTTATTGCTATCTCCACTGTCTCTGCCCTAGTTTAGGTCTTTCTTTCTCTGATTTTGAATATTGGCTGGAAGAATCTCCTAATAGATCCCTGAGACCCTAGCCATCTCTTCTTTGAATCACATGCCACATCAGGGGTATAGATGTAAAACAAAAATATAATTATATCAATTCTCTGCTACCTTCGTACAGATCTACTTAACCTACAGAATAAGCTCTTTAACATGGCACCCAGGGTTTTCCATTATCTGCCCTTGTCTATACCTCTAGCCTTCCATCTCCACAATCCTTGTCTTATGTTTGATGTTCTAGCACAGTAAATTGTTCATAAATACCTAAACACACGTATCTTTCTGCCTCCAGTGCCCTTCTGTAGGCACTCCTCTCCCCGGCCTACGTTTTCACCAGCCTGCATTTAAACTCTGAATATTTAAGACTCTTCTAAGAGATCGTGGATCCTTTACCTTTAAAAAGTAGGAATTGTAGAATCCAAGTCTGTTAGAAAACTTAAAAATGATACAAAAAGAAGATAATCTCTTTTTTTTTTTTTGAGACGGAGTCTCGCTCTGTCGCCCAGGCTGGAGTGCAGTGGCGCGATCTCGAAGATAATCTCTTAATAGCTACCAATTATTGATCCCATACCATATGCCAGACTCTATACGTGGTGCTGTCGTGCTTTCCCATCTAATGCTCACAGTAAACCTGAAAATAGGCATTATTAATTCCATGTAACAATCAAGCAACTGAGGTGCAGAGAGTTGTGTGTCTCATCCATGTTCATGCAGCTAGGAAGTGATAGAGCCATTATATAAACCTCAATTCATTTGTTGATAAAGTCTGCTTATAACTGCCTCTATATAAAAATATTATAATACTGTCTGTGGTTTCCAAAAATAAGATACCAGAGAAGATTCCAGGGAAGGAAGTGGAAAAACATTTTTTATGATTTAAGTATACAATATTTAGGGCATATATAGGCATATATATAGGATATACACAGCAATGGCCTTCCTTTTCTTTTCTCCTCTGGATACTTACTCACTTAACAAAGATTTAAGGGCTCTCCTACTACTTCCAGGTCCTGTGCTAAAAGATGCTTTAGAAAAGTTCCCTTCTTTTAAGAACATGTGATTCTTTTTGGATTCTTTTGGCTTTCTCATTACCAAAGCCTACACTTCTCTAGAAATAACAGAGGGAGCTTAGAGAGGAGGGCCTAGAAAATGTTCAGTGCCAGACTTATTAATTTGAATATTACACTCATAATAATGATGATGATAGTAAAAATGTGTGTCAAGCTTTATGTTTCACATATTGGACATGGCTTTTGCATATATTATTTTATTTAATCCCAACAAACCTTTGAGGTAGGTACTATCGTAATCTCCATTTTCAGATGAGGAAACTGAAGCACAGAGAAGTCAAATTATTTGTCAAAAGTCAGACAGATAAAAACTCCACAGAGTTGGAATGTAGACCCAAAAACCCATGATATATGTTATAAGTACTCTAATAGCATATATAAAGAGTGTCTTTGGAATGCAGTGGATGGAATTTTGCTTAAGTGTGTAGTTGAGAGGGAAGACTTCACAGAGGTGGTGTCTTCGACCTGGATTCCAAAGCAGAAAGCTTGAATTTTCCAAGCCAAGGAAATGGAGAATGGTGTTTCTCATAGTAAGAGAAAAATAAATATAAAAGCCTGGAGGTTTAACAGTGGTGATTTATTTTCAAGAAATGGCAAGTAATTCAGTGTAGCTAGAAATGGAAAATTAGAGTAGATACACAGTTTGTGGTCATATCATAAATGGCAAGAACTGTCAGCAGGGAGTGGGAAGCCATGAAGCAATTTTAAGAAAAAGGGAGAGAGATGATAATAGTAACAGTTAACATATAGCTCTTGCTATATGTCAGACACTATTTTAAGTGCTTTACATATTTTAACTCAGTTAATACTCATAAGAATCCCATGATGTACATAGACTGTTAATTATTATCTCCAGTTTATAGCTGAGGAAACAAGCAGTGAGGTTAATAAGTTGTTCAAGAATCATAGCTAATAAGTTGCAGAGGTGAGAGTAGAACTCAGATTGTCTAGTTTCAGAGTTTTTTGTTCTCACCAGCATACCATACCACATTTTTTATGAGTTTTGAAGAAAATCTCTCTGGAGGCAGCATAGGGAATTAATTAAATAGGTGGCTAGACTGGAAACAAGGAGAACCACTTGCAGTGGTCCACGTAGGAGATACTTGGGGTCTGAATCAGGTTAGTGGATATATCCTCCAAAATCAGAGTGGAAAATTGAAAGGAACTGTAACTGGCTTGTTACAGTTATTGATAAAGATGCCCAAGATGACAGGCTTATGCTGGTTGAAAACTCAAATGATTACAGAGGGAGCAGTTAGGTAATTTAGAGTCGGGAACATGTGCAAGTCACTAGATAGTGGTGGAGACTGTGGGGATTATAGAGCACATACTTGGTCTAAAGAGTGCACTTGCTCGGAGGCTCCAGTGGGTTTCTGCCATCGAAATATGAGCCATGTACTGTCTGATATTGTACTCTAATTTCTTTTCTTTTCTTTTCCTTTTTTTGAGACGGAGTTTTGCCCTTGTCACTCAGCTGGAGTGCAGTGGTGCAATCTCAGCTTACTGCAACCTCCGCCTCCCAGGTTCAAGCAATTGTACTCTAATTTCTTAAAAGGAGTTTTAAATTTGAATCTTTATGGAGAATCTGCTGATTTTTAAATGATAATAAATAATTTAGAAACAGAAAAACAATCCTGTATGACTCAGTCAAAACAAATCTTCCAGTTGAATTAAACCTGCAGCTGTCATTTACAATCTTTGCAATAATTCTGGATTTTGCAACTGAGAGAATATTAATGTCTATAGAGGATGTAGGAATAAAAGCAGGCTGGAGGATAGGCAAAAATGCGTTAGGAGTTTTGGATGTATTTTTGTGGATGTCTTGTTGGGTGGACCAGAAAAATGATTGGAAGCAAATAGTGTCATGAAGTAGAAGGCAGAAAAATGATCTTAAGAGCATAGATCAGTATGATAAGATGGAGAGAATTCCTATCAAAGTGTGATAGTCATAATTAACATCATCATTGCTGTCATATTGAAGGCTTAATCTGTGCAAAGCATATTCTTAATTTTACATTTAAGTTTACTGTCAAGCTAACATTTAGCATTTTTAGGATTAAATGTTGATCTCATTTAATCCTAAAAACAACCCTCTTAGGCAGACATTATCATTATTATTATTATCACTGTACCTATTTTATAGATGAGGGCAAGTCTTAAAACAAGTAAGTGGAAGAACTGTGACTCAAACCCAGATTTTCCTGTTACTAAAGTTTTTATTCATCTGGAAATATAAGTGGGAGTGTAGAGAAGACGGCCTAGAAATGTGCAGCACCAGCTTTCTACATACCAACATTTAAAAATTAAAACTTTTAATTTGAGATAATTGTAGATTTATGTACAGCTGTAAGAAATAATACAGAGAGTTTATATGTACATCTGACCCAGTTTTCCTCAATGGTAACATATTGCAAAACCAAAGTTGTGTATCACAACCAGGATACTAATATTGATGCATCCAAGATTTAGAACATGAACATCCTGTACATGTTTTAAATATACTCCTAACTGTTTACATTTTTTGGCATTGATGTAAATGGCATTATTTTTAAAAATGTTGTTATCCATGTGTTCAATACTAATATATAGAAATAAAATTGATTTTTACATGTTTATCATATATCTTCTGACCTTTCTTAACTCACTTATTCATTCTATTTTTTTTTTTTGGTAGATGCCTTGGAATTTTCTATGTAGACAATCGCATCATCTACAGTTAGGAAGAGTTTTATTTCTTCCTTACTAATCTGCATGGCTTTACTTATTTTTCTTGCCTTACTGTACTGAAGATAACTTGTAGCATGTGTTGAATAAGAGTGGTGACAGTGGATATCCTTGCCTTGCTCCAGATATCACAGGGAAAGCATCCAGTCTATCAACATTAAGTATAATGTTAACTTATAGCTTTTTCATTTAAAAAAATTTTTTATAGATGCTCTTTACCAAGTTGAGGAAATTTCTCTCCATTCCTAATTTTCTGAGAGTTCTTATCATGAATGAATGATGAATTTTGTCAAATGCTTTTCCTGCATTAATTAACATGGTCATGTAATCTATAGCAATGATTAATTTTTGAAAATTGAACCAGTGTTGTATCCCTGGAATAAACCTCACTTGATTATAGTGTACCTTTAAAAAAAAATTGCTGAATCCTATTTGCTAATATTGTGTTAAGGATTTTTTTCACATCTATATTCATGAGAAATATTGCCTATAGTTTTTTTGTATTGTCTGTCTCTGGTTTGCTAATAGGTTAATATTGGCTTCATAAAATGAATTCAGACATGTTACCTCTTCTATTTTCTGGAAGAGATTATATAGCATTGGTATTACTTCTTCAAACCTTTGGTAAAATTTTTCAGCGAAACCATCGGATCCTGGAGAATTTTTTTGGAGTGTTTTAAAATTGTGAATCAAGTTTCCTTAATAGTTTTAGGACTATTCAAATTACCTATTTCCTATTGGATGAGTTGTGATAGTTTATGTTTTTTAAGGAAATGGTTTATCTTGTCTAACTTGTCAAGTTTGTATTTATAGAGTTGTTAGCAATATTTACTTATTATCCTTTTATGTTCTCAGAATCCCTAGTGATAGCCTTTATTTCATTCCTAATACTGACAATTTATTTATTTTCTCTATTTTCTTCATTAGTTTTGCTAAAGAATTGCCAGTTTTTCTTTTCAAAGAAACAGCTGTTTGGTTTTTTTCTATGGTCTTTGCTTTTAATTTTGTTGATTTCTGCTCTTGTTTTTATTATTTTCTTCCTTTTGCTTACTTTGAGCTTATTTTCTTCTCTCTTTCTAGATTCTTGAGATAGCTTAGATTATTGATTTGAGACTTCGTCTTTCCTAATCTATGCACTTAGTGCTACAAATTTTTCTCTCAACACAGCTAAAGCAATTTTTATGTGTTGTATTTTTATTTTCATTAAGGTCAATAGATTAAAAAATTTCTTCTGAGATTTTCTCTTTGAACCATGGATTATTTAGAGTGTGTTGTTTAGTTTCAAATATTTGTAGATTTTTCCATTATGTTTTTGTTGTCAATTTCTAGTTTGGTTCCATTTGGTTATAGAACACATTCTGTATATTTTCACACCCACTTAGTTATGGTGTATAATTCTTTTCATAGGTTGCTAGGTTAGGTTTATAAGTATTTTGTTCATAAAAGATATTAGCCTGTAGTTTTCTTTCTTCTACCTGGTAACACCCATTACTCACATTAATCGTAGCAGATTCCAGTCTGCTGTATCAAATCACCTTAAATCTGGTGGCTTTAAACAACAGAAATTTATTCTCTTGCAGTTGTGGAGGCAAGAAGTCAAAAATCAGTTTCACTCAACTGAAATAATTGTATTGACAGATTAACACTCCCTGTGGAGGCTGTAATGAGAGGGTCTGTTTCTTGACCTTTCTAGCTTCTGGTGGCTGTCAGCTTTCTTTAGCTTATGGCTGCATCACTTCAATTTCTGCCATTTTGATCACCTTTATATTGGGAAATTTCTATTATTCCATCTTCTACTTTATTGAATCTTTTCTTTCTCCCTTACATTCATTCTGTCATGGAACCCACCCACTGAGCCTTTTTGTTTCAGTTATTGTATTTTTGAGTTCTACATTTTCTATTGATTCTTCTTTACATCCATTTTTTTTTTGCTGAAGGTTTCTATTGCTTTCATTTGTTTCAAGCATGTTTAATAGCTTGTTGAAGACTTTTTATTAAGTCTACTTTACAGTATTTGTCAGATCATCTAGTATTTCTGTCACTTCAGTGTTGACATCTATTGATTATCTTTTTTGCATTCAGTTTGACATCTTCCCAGTTGTTGGAGCCACATTTTTTGCTGCGGTGTTTGGCTATATTAGGATGGTTATTATCTGAACATTTTGTCTTGCTAGGCTGTCCCTTTCTTGATCCTTTTCCTAGAGAGAGAAAGCTTTTGTTGGGGCTTTAGTCTGTGTCTGTTTAAGTTTTTATGTTTCCAGCTTCTTCACCTTTAGTTGTGGTATAAGGCAAGAAGAAAACCCAGGGAACTTACTACGATGTTATTCTTCAGGTCTCGAGGTTGCAAGTAGTCTTTTATCTTTGCTTTCCAGTCTTATATTTATTGTATAGGAATGTCCAGAGTTTTCAATTGTACCTAACTGGAAGAATAGGAAAAAGTACATCTACTGCATTTTGCCAGAAATGGAAGTTCTATATACCTATTTGAAACTCTAATTTATTTTTTAAACTCTTTATAATAGAAAATTTCAACCATATATATAAATAAAGAGAAGACAGCATAATGAACTCTATGCTTCAAAAATGATCAATATTCTGCCTTTTTTGTTTCTTTTTATCTCACAAGACACTAGTTGGGGGAGATTAGGATATTATAAATAAAATTTTATTCGACTCTAATTTGTTTTATAGGATAGTCTTTGATTCTTCATTAAATTATTACTTAAAACTGCTTTGTACAAAGATTCATGTATTTTCTTCCTGGAGATGTTTGTACATATTATTAATTGAAACTGATTATACACACATATAATATTCTGAGCTACCAGTATGCTGCCATATATGTTTATTAGACATGACAAGGTGAGACTTTTGGTGACTTTAAATAAATGTAGTTAATTAAGTGTTTAATTTTTCAAATGCAGAAATGAATATTTGTCATTGCTTAAATGACTCAGAACACTGGTTTGGGAAGACTCTCATATAGAATTGTGAGCTTGAATTTATGAATTATCTACCTTTCCCTCTGTGTTAGTCTTTAAAGATGAATGCAAATTTTAAAAATTTTCCTGACTAGCAAAATTCAAAGGCAACTATGATCTGTATTAAGTAGTAATTTTGGTGAGTTGCTAATTTATTGTATGATACATAATTTAGTTTTTAGAATCTGAAATGCAAAAGCTGATTCAACAAAAACCCAATACTCTAAAGAGTAGTAACCATAAAAATGTCTTTCTATGGCCACTGATGTCACTGAGGCTTGGTGTGGACTCAAAATCCTGCACTATTTCCTCTTCTTCAGAGGAGAACATACTCAGCAGTTCAGTCCAAAAATAAGTGAGAGAAAAAAAAATGCTACAGATAGTTTAATGACATACCCCTCAGGGTAAGTGTAGTTTTAGTCATGGTAAACAAAGGACAAATGGCAGCCCATCCAAATTGAGTCTGAAATTTCTTCAGGTATCTGAACAGTATTTATCCCAACAATAATGTGAGCTGTCTCTTTGTGTCAAGAGTTATAAAGCCAGCCTTTTAGAGGAGTTAACACACATTATGCCAGATCTCTGTCTTGAAACTTTTTGGTCTAAAAATACAAATGTGGGACAGTTGTATGTTTTAATGGAGGGCTAACATAACCTTTACTATTCCCTCTTTCTTGCTTATCCTTCCTTTAAAGTTATATATTTCAGATTCTTGATGCAGACTGCTTTTAGAAATCTATAGATTAAACTGCTAAAAATAATAGGTTTATAGAGTTCTGTTAGTATAAGGCTCTTGAAATAATTGGGGTTTTTCTCTATCCCCTTGTTATTCTGTATAATTTTTCTGTCACTTCATTAGTGACTTCTAGTTCTTGGATTTATTTATTTAAGTTAGTTATTCCTGCTTCTATTTTCTCATATCCTCTGTTTATGTTTGTATTCTATAGTTCTGGCTCATTGTATAAGAGAAGTTTGCTGCCTTAGTGAGATTTGTAAGTACTCTCGAATGTAGAGGCTGTGTTACTGTCCTTTTATTCCCAGCATGTAGCACATGGTACATAATGGGCTGTCAGTCACTTCTAGGTTAAAATTTTGAGATGGTGTTATTTGAATTGAAGGACAGATGGGACTTGCATGAATTTTGGCGTTCAATAATCCCTCCTCTTGCATCCTCAAACACAACAAAGCACACAAAATGCCCTAAAATAAAAATTGTTTTCAATTAATTTCTCACTAATAACTATAGCTCTCTCCCAGCTGGACTCCTGATTTGAAGATGATAGTAGCTATAAATGAACATTGAATTGAGTTAAACTAAGTGTCCTAGAATCTTACCCTACAGGATCAATGGCAAGGTCCTTCCAAGGTACATCTCTTTCTTTTTGCTATGATTTCTGCTCTTGCTATCTCCTTTCTTCTAAGCAGAGGCTCTATGGGTTCCTTATTCCCTCTCCCCTACCCTTTAATTATAGCATCCAGAGTATATCAGAGAGACAGTGTCTATATCTACTTAGGTAGTGACCAATCCATGCTATACTTAAGAGAAAGGACATTCTCTCTCTCTCTCTTTCTGTCTCTTCCTCTCCTTCTCTCTCTCTCCATCCCTCTTTATCTCTCTGAGACAGGGTCTCACTCTGTTGCCCAGGATGGATTGCTGTGGCATGATCATAATACACTGTAACCTTGAACTCCTGGGCTCAAGGGATCCTCTTGCCTTTGCCTCCTGAATAGCTAGGATTGCAGGTGCATGCCACCAAACCTGGCTAATTTTTGTTAAATTTTTCATAGAGACAGGGTCTCACTGTGTTGGCCAGGCTGGTCTCAAACTCCTGGTCTCAAGCAATACTACCACATTGGCCTCCCAAAATGCTGGGATTACAGGTGTGAGCAACTGCACCTGACCTAGGACATATTTTTCTTTAACCTCTGTAATTGGTGGCTAAAGCAAAATTGCATTTTATCCTTTCTATTCTCAATTTTCTATTGTGTCTCAAGTGGAACAAGCCCGCTATGCTTTTGTGGAACTTTAAAATTAAGCTTAAGGGAAAAAATCTAAAAGAAATAGTGTGTGAAAAATTATTCTTCTTCACTTTTAGGAGCCTCAGATGATTTGCTTGTTTCAATAGATTTTCTTTCCTTATTGTCCTATTCACAAGGGCTAAAAGAATCTTCTGTAGTATCCCAAATTGATTGAACCCTGTGTCACCAAAGAAGAGCTAGCTATATGCCATGGCAAACATTTGTTGAGTATCGACAGGTATCAGGCACATTGCTTGGTGGCACTGGGGAAACAAATATGTTTCATATTCATATCCTTAAAGACTCTCAGCATAGTCGGGAAAAAGGATGTTAAGAAATAAGTGCCAGAATGGTGAAAGAGGGTAAAGTAATATGAAACTACACATTATATAATAAGAGGGGCTATCGCTTCTCTCTGATGTAGATTGTAGGAGGTCAGGGCATGCTTCCTAGTGGACATCACATTAGAATTGAACAATGAAGAGCATAGGAGACAGTGATTCCACAGGAAGCACCCTGGAGGCCAAGAGACTGCAGTGGTTGTTGACATAGCCTGAAGGATCCATTGGGCATTTTCTCAGAGATTTTCCAGGTCTCCAGAACTGATGTCTCATACTCACTTTATATCTCTGAGGGTTGTTTTAGGGTCTCTAGACCAATCCACTATTGTAGTTTTAGTTGGAGACCCTCTTGTATTAATGATATTTCCCATTGAACTGTTCTCTCCACCTGGGATCATTCTGCTGTGACTATGCCATAAAAAAGGACATTAGAAAATATGATATGAAGCTCTCTTTTCTCCATCCTATGGTTCTGAACTGTTTTGAGCTGGTCTGGAAGAGCATGCAGGCAAAAAGACACCATGAGTAGAGTGATAGATATAATTCAAATTTGGCAATGATATGAGGGGATATATGTTCTTATATTGAAGAAGTGCCTTTGGGTCTTACAAAAAGGGACAATTAACAATAATATTTACTTAATCAAAATCTCTTTTTTTCCACTTAAGAAGCCCACCGAGCACAGTGCTTATACTATTCTTCAAGGACTAGTGTACACTAATAGCATATATTATTCTTCAAGGAATATTACTGAGTCACTAGCTTGGCTATTCTACTTTGGTAGTATGGAAGTTTTTGTTATTAAGTACATTTAAAAGGCTGTGAATTTTGGTATAAAAAGAATATAATTAAGTTTCTAGTTTTAAAAATGTCAGAAATCTGCCTTAGTCAAGCGATCAATGTTAACACTAGTTGTAACACATAGTGACAACATGAATCCCTTGAAATGATGTTCTGAACAGAACACAATATCTCTTCTGTGGTATTCTTGCCAAAACTCACAACTTAGAAAGTTTCTAGGTCATGAAAGATAAGGAAAGACTGGTGAACAATTATAGATTAGAAGAGCCTAAGGAAAAATAACAAAGAAACGCAGTGTGGTGTCCTGGATGGGACATTATAACAGAAAAAGGACATTAGTGGAAAAATTGGAGAAATTTGAATGAAGTCTATAGTTTAGTTGATATTATTGTACAAAAATCAGTGTCCTGGTTTTGATAACTATGTCTAAGTACAAAATGCTAACACTAGGGGAAACTGAGTTGGGGTATACGGAACTCTGTATTATTTTGGCAAGTTTTTTTGATTTCTAAAATTAGTCAAAACAAACATTTAAAAGATCTTCATACATATGTAAATGTCATATAAATATGCAACTGGAAATAAAAGCAGATTTATTATTCATGTATTTACATTGCCAGTGATTGTTAATGGTTATTTTAAGTTTAGAGGTGTTTGTATCAATATGGACACTATAAAGTTTTGAATAAGTTTTAAAAACAATGTTATTCATATTAACTCAAAGTTTTTGGCCAGGCGCGGTGGCTCACGCCTGTAATCCCAGCACTTTGGGAGGCCGAGGCGGGTGGATCATGAGGTCAGGAGATCGAGACCATCCTGGCTAACAAGGTGAAACCCCGTCTCTACTAAAAATACAAAAAAAATTAGCCGGGCGCGGTGGCGGGCGCCTGTAGTCCCAGCTACTCGGGAGGCTGAGGCAGGAGAATGGCGTGAACCCGGGAAGCGGAGCTTGCAGTGAGCCGAGATTGCGCCACTGCAGTCCGCAGTCCCGCCTGGGCGACAGAGCGAGACTCCGTCTCAAAAAAAAAAAAAAAAAAAAAAGTTTTTGGTTTTATTTGAGTGGTTTTTGGTTGGTGTTCCTTCTCTTTAAGCTGCACTTTCTGGATATTTTTCTAAGCATTAATAATGATACTTATAGTAGATTGTAGCAGAAATAGGATTAATTTTTTTGGTTTATGAAACACTAAGTACTTTTTGAGGATAAAATTGGCTGTCAGTCCTTGGAAATGCTGTACTGATAAATTTGCTTGCTTTTAAACATTTTTTTATTTCTGCCCCCTACCCATTCTCCACCTTTTTGGATTACAAACCACAATGTTCTTGCCTTCTCTATTGCCCTCTAGGGGTAGACTAGAGAACTTGTGCCGTTGTGAATTCCTGACTGCAGTTCAGGGGGAAGAAAATAACTTGGAAGTTTCTGAATTTAGTGGAGATAAATACGGATAGCTCAGAAATATATTTACCAAATATCACAGTCTCGATCTTTGTCTAGCATTGCCAGCATGTTGTTTAAAGACCTATTGTTTATTGTGGCATATGCAAATCCCATTAGCCTTGTGCCAAGTGGAAGACTTGGGGGCATAGTAGATGCTTTATTCACAAAGACAATGTCAACAGAAGCCTTCAGGATCAATCTCTCATCTGTGATCCTTCCTCCTTCATCATGCACACCCCCTTCCCTCAGATGCCTCAGGCTCTTTGTTCCCCTTCCTAATATTAAAACCCATTCTGTTAGCTCTTTTTCGGAAATAAATGTTTGTGAAGAATTAAAATGTTATTTCACCTATTTCTGCTTTTGGAAAAAAAATCCTACACATTTACTCCCTACTAAGAATATATTATTCTTCAATTTATTTGTTTATTCTTTCATCTCTCTACTATCCTTCGGAGTTCAGGTGTTAGTAGCACCATATTTGCATCGAATATTTTCATTTGCTAAATTAAAAAAATCTCAGAAGTATCTTTACCTTTTTTTGGTAACATTGCACTTTTATAGCATTACTGAGACTTTATTTTCTAGGAATATAAGGCTAAAATGAAATTTAAGTCATAATTCAATATGGTGAATATTTTAATTCTTGACAAAAATATAACTTTTCTGAGATATATTTATTTTATGAATGCACAAAAGAAATATATATATGAGTTAATGAAAGCTTCCAATTGACATTTTTAGACTGGAAGTTAACTGAGGCCAGCTAAACGTGTTAATTAGTTGACTGTCATTTTTAAATAGAGATTTACAATATGAGTTTGAACTTATTAATATTATGAATTTCATTGTTGTTTTCCTGTGAGCTGTATGAAACTCACCACAGTAGAGAGCTGGATGGTTTCAATATCTAATGACTGAACTTTTCACCTCAGGCCTTGGGTCACATTAGGCTTTGGTTTCAAGTGATTGACAGCCATTTCATAGTAACCTGAAATGAATTGGGGGTCAAAATCATCCAAATGATGGAGAGAAAATGCCCCCGTTAGAAAAAAATAAAGGCAGAAGTAAACTAACCAGTGTAGTTGAAACTAATTGGCCTCCTTATTGGCAAAGGATTGAACGGGCACAGGGACTGAATTAATCTCTTGAATTCGGTGGCAGATCCTTGCAGGTTGAAATTGTGAATTGGCAGGTTAGCATAAGGGGTGGCTGTATCCCCCTAGCATGTGATACTTCTGTTCTGTGAATTTCCATTTTGTGGAGCTGTCAATCTGAGGCTTTTGTGAGCATTAAACTTTCTTTAGAAACAACACCACTAAAAAAAGAATGACCCCACCTCCTAAACTACCACATAAATCAGCTTGATTAGTAATCTCTATTAAGAGACATTGAGTTTTGAATTGGCTGGGGTATTGTAGGTCCAGAATGAAGGACTTGGCAGGCCCAAATAGGGAAGTTTGAACATCTGCCCTACTCCGTCCTAGCACTTCTGCAAGTTTTAAGCCTATTCACAAATGGCCTAAATTATAAAAGTGCAAACTGTAGTTCTCCACAAGCAGTTTTTCAAATAACATTAAGGGGTGAATATATAATATTAGTATTTATTGAAGGTGTAGAAATTCCATAAAATATTTTATATTAAGGAGAAAGGTAACAGTAACAGACCTTTATATTTGAGCCCATTAATACCAGCTTTCTTTTAGCATTCTTCTTTTCTGTAACAAGTGAAGTTTGATCTTGAATTTTTATTCAAAGCTCTGTAAACCAAAGCCACAGATGGGGTATTGCTGTGTCATTTCCATGGCCTTATACAGATTACAGAATGTATGCAGCTGTCCCATACTCCCTTAATAGACCTTCAGCTTTTCAATACATCTTCCACTGATGGCATTTCTGTGGATAAACATCATTTCAGAATGAAATGTGCCAGATGTCCTGCAGTGCACTTAGGTACAACAAGGCACTTTTTAAAAAAGTCGCGCCTGTATTATTTACTCATTTAGAGAATGTGACTTCTGGAATATACATTGGAAATCCAAAATTTGCTGAATGAGAGAGGAAATATTATAAATAGTTTTTAACTCATATGTACCTTAAAATTCCCTTAAATACATTTTTTCTGGACCATAAAGAAATCAATGTTTTATATCCAGGTTTCTCATAATTTTTTCCTCTAGGAGGCATAACTCAATCAAAATCTCTGGTTACTACTGAATAGAAATAGTCCTTTTTATTGAGGTTAAAAATTGCTAGATCAGGGATTTGGAATATATATGTATGTCTATATATACACACATATATATAATGTTTCCTTTAGTATAGCTAATTTTATGAAGCATTCCTTTCAACATTCTTGAGTTTTATATTCCTGCCACAAGAAAATATTATTTTCAAGTTCTGTATTTTGTTATTGTTGTTGTTAAGAGACTGGAATAGGTGATCCAAATGAAAGTAAAACACCAGTGAGAAATGGCAATTCAGGATCATTCCAATATCAGCATTTGATTCTCTCATATCAGATGCAACTATACCACATGCTCAATTGAGTGCTTGACTGACTATTGACTTATGTCATTTAACATTTTTTTACATACATACCACTCTTCAAAGCCTGCAAATCATTGACTGCAAGGACCATATCTTCTGCCACTTAATATGCCTCGTTGCTGAACACAATGTGAGATTTTAGTCAGTGGCTGTTGAGTTGATGACTACGTTTATGGTAAACTAGAACAAGGAGATGTGTATTAAATTTTTCTATGAGGAAATCCATTTTCACTTATAAGTGCTTATAGATTATACCAAAGATATAGACTTCACTTAATTGCGATATCGCAAACTGTGGTAGCTTTAGTGTTCTTCAGCATGTTTTTTATGCATTTTTCATTTTTTAAAGAGTGAGATTTGTAGAGGCAGTCCACTAATAGCTGATAAAACTGAGGTACAGACCTTTAGATGGTCCACAACTAAAGGAGATGGTGCTAGGCTGTATTTTGAAGCTTCTGAGAATCCCTAGGAATTATTTAAAAGAGACACGTCCTTCAATATTGCATAAACTAATTATCTATGAACTGTTTATCCTAAGCAAAATAATAATAATAATAATAATAAATCATAATGAGAAAATGTTACTCCAGGAACGTTGACAATTATTTAAAATCTCACTATGTATTTAATTCAAAAAGTGTGATTCTTGAGGCTGTATACTTTTCTATGTGTGCACTCCCTAAGAAAACTAGCTGAAACTTTTAATGATTTATCAAATCACTTGATAATTTTATATATTGTCAATTTACCTCCTCTTCCTAACAGCAATGTTCCTCTTAACACAAAATATACTGCATTTAGAAAACTGAAACATATTTATCATTTGTCTTGCCATCAAGGTTTTTAGAAAATATCTGCGCTGTAGTTCTGTCTCTGACAGCTGTGTGGTTAATTTTTCGATCCCTGGTATGTAGCTGTCTCTTTCGGTGCTGCTGCGTTTGCAGCCATGCTGTCAACATCCACCAGAGAGCAGAGCAGCTCCAACCCCCACATCTTTCATGCTAGAAATAGATGGAGACAGTAACACAGTCAGATCCTTGGCCAAACAACGCGGATTGCAGTTCATTTCAAAGGTCAGCACATATTTAAGCTTGCTTCATTACTGCCACCTTTATGCCTGAGATTTTCATTTAAAAAAAAAATCAGTTTACCCAGGTTCCTTTAGAGACAGAAAAATGAAAGTGCTGAGTCCTATTTTCATTTGGAGATATCAAGCTTTTTATCAAATTATAGTGGTGGCGTTTCAGAATATTTCATATCTGATCAAGAGGGAAATCCAAAAATAATTTTCTCTTTATTCAGGAGTCTTTCAGGCAGGAAAACTGTTTTATTTTTTACTTAATATTGTGCTCAAGCCAATCATTTTAAATTCATAGAGAAAGCAGACATTTAAAAACAATTTATAATAAAAATATTTTGGAGTTTAATATTTTTATTTATATTTTCTAATGAAAACACCACAATTTGTACTCTTTCGACATGTTTTAACTTATCAACTAGTAAAATAAATATACACACTTTCCTTTCTTATATTAAGGATGGTGAACAAGTGGATAATTATAAAACACTTTCTAGTTAAAAAGAAATAGTTTGCCTTTTAAGAAAAAAGCAAGGATGGTTTATTTTGTTTTAAATCAAATCTGTCCTTTTCCTATTTACCATAAGGATCTAATATACATAGGAAGAATATGATACAGTATACATTAGGAATATTAATATGGCCTGTGTATATTAAGGATTCTCAATGGTTTATGTCACAGATATCTTTAAAACTAATACTTTATTTTTAATTAAAATAATTAATTTTGAGACGAAGCTTTACATCTTCTTTGCAAAAACAGAGTTCTAGGAAATGAAAGAAAATCATTCTGAGATAGGATGTACAAGCCACTGAGAAAATACATTTTCAAAATAGTGTTTTAATAAAGGTTTTTGATACCAAAATGTGAAAAAAATTGTATAAGTGGTTTCGTTAATCATTGGAAATTAAACTGCCTATAATTTTTTTAATGACTAACAACATAAGTAGTAAAAAATTTTTCAAACTTGATGTCATGATCATTTTAGATCATTGAAATTTATATTTTTCTTGTAACACATTGTGGGAACATAATTATGGACATACCTTAGAAAGAGTTTAAAAGGAATGCCTGGAGGCTAAAGGCTTCCTAAAAGAAATACTCACATACTCAGGTTATATAGCTGAATATATATATTATATATATATATAATATATATATATATACGTATATATTTTAGTGATAATTTTAACTAGGTTATTTTAATTTTGGCATTCATGTATTTCTGAAATGAATATTTAAAATACACTATAACTGAAAGAGGAAAAAACATATCTATATTTAAAGTATAATAATTTTAGATTTATAAATAGATTTTATAAAAGTTTTTTGAATACTTCATTAATACTTTATCTATAACTTACTTTAAAATAATTAAGAAATGTATATGGCTGAAAGTCCAGTCATCAGTTGTATTTAGACTTGGACTACTTCACTCAATTCTATAGGCTGGTTGGAATTTGAAAACAAATTCTCATTTGTTTTCAGGAATAATGATCTATAAAAAGTATGTGAATGAGATCCAGAAAATATGATAGTAGGACATTAGGATAAAAGTAAGAAATGTGAAAGGTGAGAAAACTGGGAAAAAATAGGACCTCAAGTCCCTTGGACCATCCAAGTGCATCTTTTAACCTGAAAGATAACATGAACCCTTTTTCTTGTCCCTCAGATTCTAAAGTACATGGTGCTGATTTTACTTGTTATAAATTCTAACGTGACTTATATATAGGTTCATTTACTTCTTTCTTAGATGCAATTTAAAACAACAACTCAGCATTATGAAATAAAACCAGGTAACAAACTTGCATAAGTGCTCCCTGAATCTAAAGTAAAAGTTGAAAAAATTAAAACCAGCAATAAAAGAAAAGCAAACTTCTATTAGAAAATTATATTCCTATTTTAAAGGAAGTAAAAAGATATTTATTGCCAATTATTTGCCCAACAGCACATTATCTCATTTAACCTTCATTATCACACTGGGAGCTGGGTGGTGCTAGGCCCATTTTACAGAGAAGAGACTTAAAATTTTAAGAATTTAGTGATTACCTCTATTACCTAGCCAAGGCTTGGTCCCAGATCGTCTGACTTCACGTCCTATTTTTCTCTTTTGCTAAGTTAAAATTCTGGACAAAGACAAAAATCCTTTCCTTAAAGGTTAACTATCTTAGAGATTCATGGATTTGAATTACTGGCAGAAAGAAAAATTAGGAAGAGCAAAGATTAGCTGTGAGGTGAATGATAATACATGGGTGATTTCTATTTTTCAGTTTGCGATTTAATTCTGTAGTCAATTATCTGTATTAAAAAACAAACTAACTAAAGTGCTCAAAACTTAGACTGATTTGTTATTTATCAGGTATTTATCCTAACACTTTAATTACTACTCATAACAGAATAATTAAACCTATTTGGCCTATATTCCTGGTAAAATGGGAGTTTTATATATGAAAAAATAGCACACATCATTTTTGGATAATTAAAGGTAGTCCATTGTATGTGATATTAAAGGCTGATATCTTTAAATACGTCGTGACAATTTTAAGGGTGGAAATATAATTTAGCTTGACTTTTGGCTTTTTTTTTTTTTTAACATGGGTTAAAAAAGTTTAGTGTACTCAAAGACTACAGAATTGCCCTATTGTTATTTATTCAACTCAAGTACCAGGGGCTAAGAAAGTCAGGAAAGCCACTTTTTTTTTTTTTTTTTCCATTCTTCATCACGGCCTCTACTTCCCTGGCTCCCCAGATGTAGCATGGCCTTGTTTTGAAATGATACATTTAACAGCAATATTTTAAAAAGCCTTTTTCATTTGTACAAATGAGAAATCAGGTTCAAATGATTACAGGTAGAAGTGATCTTTAGCCTTTTCTTAGAATTTAAGTTAGGTTTACACGTAGAGGTAGGTGATCTTTGGCCTCACTTTAGAATTTGAGTTACAGGTTTTTGAAAGCCTGGTAGCCTGGTAGCCCTTTACATAAGCTCTACATATCCTGCAATAGAGCAACCAAAGGATACTTTGACTGCTGTAGTAGACAGTTTCTTTTCTTTTGCTTATTAATACAAAGGTGCTTAGCGGCACAGTAGGAAAATTTAAATTCACTCTCCAAAAGCCCATTTATGTGGAATGTGTTAAAATTACTTTTTCCAAAATAATTTGCTAACCTAGTATTCTTCTATATTCAGAAGTTTAAAAATAAATCTCTTAAGCCTCAAGCAGAATAATGATTTAATACAAAAATAAAGATAAATGATTTTTTTTTCTTACAATATGGTCATTGTCTTTCACTGAGTTCTAAGGATGTTAACATTAAAGTTCCTATGATGAAAACACTTTAAACTCTATGATAGGAACTTGGAACTTTCTGTGGAAGGCTCTTAAGAAATCTGATACAACCAAAATATTTTTCAAAACTTGTGTTTGTTGTTGTTGTTGTTGTAAGTTGTGCTTGATTAAAGGGATTGTACTTTACAATGCAAATATTAGAAGGCAGATTTGAAAGTGCTAGTATATTTTTAAAGAAATTCATATATGTTTTCTGAGTTGATTCTATCTGAACTTTTAAATAGACACAGAAGCAGAATCTCTTATCACTAAATTAGGTCATGGAATAATAGCACTATGCAAAGGTTCAGATGAAAAGATAGTGGTAACATCAAAATTTTCTCATTTTCTTAAAATTTAAGATAAAAATGAAGGGTCACTGTGTAGAGATTTCATGAGTTTGACTCATTAATTCACGAAGAAAGGAAAAGGAGAAGAATATATTTTTAAAGAAAAACATTAGAATGTGTTGGCTGTATTTCAGATGATGATTTGTTTTTAGTGATTTAGACCTCTATTATATTTCTGTAGAATTAGTATTGATCATTTCAACTTTTTTAGGAGCCTTATTTTGCTCTAATTCAAAGGCAGCACATTCTGTCTTAAAATCGTGAATACTGCAGAGTTCTTCATAACTTTATGGATCCAGTCTTTTAGTATTCATTTGGATATTGCATTGTTGTTAGCTAGGTATCCCTATGTTGCTTGTTTGTATATTTAGAATATGGCTGATATACTTTATTTTCTTAATATATCCCAATGTATTTTAATATAGGAGCTTGCATGTGGAGTTCCGAATTTATTTTATGATAGCACTCTCAAATTTTATAGTACATTATTAATTTGCTAGGCTAAAAATCTAAGCCAGTCTCTGAGCCTTCAAAGAAATTCTAAAAAACAAAATGCTGTTAGTTGGAAGTATGATTTCAGTAGGAATATCTTCTGAATTGTTTGTGGTTCATATAAATATATTTTGAGGGAAGTTCTTGTACCAAAGTTCAAGGTCCTGATATTTACATAGTTTCTTTACATAGTGCACCAAGTTGATTTGTGAGGAAATGAAGAGAATTTAAATTAAAAATTTAAACCATGAATGTAAAATTGCTGGATATTTGCACATAGTACAGGGTTGAAGGGAGTTTTTTTTTAAGTTATCCATATGGCAGCAGAACTTTTAATAAACAATAGTTCTAACACAGATTCTTTATGGAAACAGAAAATAGGATTTATGAGGTGACATTTTGAGTATGTTAAGTAAAATGAAATAAGATTAGCTTTATTTTCCTATTTCCCCCCAGCCTTGCGAAGGTTTAGTGGCTGAATTACCACTTATAATTTGTTTTTTCATTCCTCGCATGCATTTCATTAACCTATTCCTGGCTCTGCAGCCAGCCTGCAGAGAAAAATCAGCAGAAGGATTTCTGAACAGATTGGCTACAACACGCTATAGGACATATTTCAGAATCCAAGGACAATTTGATAACTTTTACTGTGCTTTACATTAATAATGTGAAAAGTTTCATTTTGTTTAAATGGTATCTTAGAGAATTAATGTTATTTAATAATATTTAAGTAAAAGTTATGAGATATTACCAAACAGTCAAAATTTAACTCATAGTTCATTGAAATTATTCTGACTGCTTCAGAGTCAGGATTAAATAGATTAGTATTGAAGTTCAGTTCAGGGATTTTACCACTTATTGGATGAACTACTGGAATAGTAGTAAAAGTTTTTTGTAATACAGTTGATTTTTCTTTGAAATAGTTATGAGACTCATGTAATAAAGATTGGAAGATATTTCAAACAGATGTAATTGTACAATTTTCTGAATATAACAGAATTTTGCCTTTCATTCTTTTTAAAAATAACTCTCAGTTATGTATGTTAGCGCAATAATGCAATTGCACATAAATAAATGAAATTGGTGTTGAAATGCAAAAAATTATTTTTCATATGAAAGTTACCTTTTAAATTATATTTTGATTTGACTTTAATTTTGTACATTTGCATTCCCCAACAGAGAATGATGGCTCAGAATGCCCCAGGTGAGAGGATGAGATGAGTTTGTGATTTAAAAATGCTGTGACTCTAAAAAGAAAATTTTTAAAGTTAAAAGGTACTTCAGTTCAACCTTTTGTCCTATAATTCCCTCATCCTGTCTGAAAACTCAGCATTCTCTGGTACTGTTTTATAACTTATTATTTGTTCGGGCCAGTGATAGTACACTCATTACCACCCTGCAAAAGGCAGCCTCTGTTTTGGGATATTTTAAGAATCAAATTGTTTCTTTCTTTTCTTCTTGCTTGTTTTGAGCTCAAATCTGCCCTATAATACCTTTTATTTGCAGTTTTTGTTCTGTGATAGAAAGCTACCAGAATGTCACTCATTCTCTACGTAAAAGACTATCAAATTCAGCTATTGCTACATTTCTCTGCTCTATTTTATAGCAAAAGTCCTGGAAAGAGTTCAATTCAGCAAATGTTTATGGAGTGTCTAATGTTATTTTAGGTTCTTAGGATATAAACAAACAAACAAACAAAATAAAGATCCCTGCCTTGAGGAAGCTTCTATTCTAGTTGGAATAACAAAATAAAAGACAAGTTTACTAAATGATTTTAGAACACCATTGGCTCTAATTGCTTTTCTTCGCATTCTTTCATGCACCTCCCAATAGGCTGTTGTCCCTGCTATTCTTCTGAACTACTCTTCACTTGAGAACTAGAATTTCATTATTTCTTCTTTATTCTCAGTCTTCATTAGTTTTTATCTTTTCAGCAACATTTGAAACAACAGAACACACCCTCCCTCCTTTTTGAAATATTGTCTTTATTTTTAGGACACCACTGGCTCTTACCTTTTTCCTTGACTCACTGCCACCCTTTCTATTCTCCTTTGCCAGCTTCTCCTCCTTTTCCAGGCCTTTAAATGCCCCAGGGCTCTGTCCCTACTCCCTCATCCTTCTCCTGTTTTTTTTCTCTGCCTATACTTACTTATTAGGTGATTTCACAGTTTCATGGCTTCAATGACATCTTTATGCTGGTATCTTTCACATATTCTATAATCCAAAGAAACTAAGACACTGATTCTGAAACTGACTTCTGATGCACCATTATTTTGTATACTACTAAGGAGAAAAAAAAGGTTGCCATTTCTCTGTAAGATATTATTGATTGTGAGACATGTCCCCATTTCAAAGATGTTAAAATAGTGAAAAAGAGTGTGTCATAGAATAAATGAAATGTGGCATATATCCTGACCTCTCCTCTCAGATTCAGACTGGTATATCCAACGGCATATACAACATCTCCACTGAGTTGTTGAATGGGTGTCTCAGGTGGCATTCCTTAAACTGAATTCTCAATTCCCACTCATTCCCAAATTTGCTCTTCCTCTAGTGGTCTCCACATCAATAAATGGAATCTCCATTCATCTGGTTGCTTTGCTCAAAACCCCAAAGGTAATGTCTGATCTGAGTTTTCAACTTTGGCACAAATTTTATAATAAGCAAGTTCTCTACTCTCAAATAAATCCCCAAATTTGATCACTTTTTACTACCTCTGCTACCACTCTTGTCTAAGACACTTTGTTTCTTGCCTATAATACTGAACCAGCCTCCTAACTGGCCTCTGGTGTCCATCTCTTGCTCCTAAGCAGTTGTATTTCACATATAGCCAGAGTGAGTGTTTAAAAAACAAACATCAAATTGCCCTACACCAACTCAAAACCTTACAGAGGCTTCTCTTTATATTCGAAATATATTCCATCCCTTTCCTTGGTTTTCAGGGCTCCACATGACCATGCTCCTGCCTCACTCTGTGACTTTACTCCCCATTGCTCTTTTCTGGGTGCCGTATTTTCCAGACACTTTGTTATTCTTGCTATTCCTCCACAGCACCATGCTAGTTTCCTCCCTGCTCCCAGATCATTAGAGTGTCACATAATTTGAAGCCCTGCTACATGATGATCCTGCTGTCTTCATCCTCCTACCCACAACCCAAGGTAACTAATTATGCCTTTGCCTTTATTTATGGTTTTAGCACATATATAGACACCTCTAAAGTATATATAACTTTTAGTTTTGTTCTGTGTAAATGGAATTATACTGTATGTGTTCTCATGTGAATTGCTCTTTCACTTAACATTATGATATGTACAGCTGTACTTTGCTCATTTGCCCTGCTGTGTAGTATTTCATCGCGTGGATATACCAAATTCATTATTCATACATTTAACTGTCAACAGATTTTTTGCATGTATGTGGATATATTAACAGTGCTGCTGTGACAGTCATGTGCATGTTTCAAGATGAAATTGTTAAAACGTTTCACTGGAAGTGGATTTGGCATCAAAAGGAATATGTATCTTCAGTTTCACTAAATAATGCAAATAATTTTCCAGAGTAGTTATGCCCTTCAGCAGCATATAAAATTATCTGCAAATCCCCGACCTCAAGAAATCCTGATATTGTCAGACTACTTTTTCTTCTCAGTCAAATGGGTATAAATAATATTTCATTATTTAAATTTATATTTTCTCTATAATTTTATATACTTATTGGCCATTAGTGTTTCTTTTTGTTACATTCCTATAAGTGCCTTTGCCAGTTTTTTTAAAATGAGATTTTTTAAGCTGATTTTAAATGTGTTCAACTAGGATTACCTACCCTCCTATATGAGTATTTTGTTGGTTAAATATTCTGTAAGTATTTTCCATTTGTCATTGCTTAGTATTTTACTCTCTTTATAGTATTTTTTGATGAATAATAGTTCTTGATTTACCAACTTTTTCTTTTATTAATTGTACTTTTTGGATGTTATATAAGAAAACTTCCCTAGTCTGAAATCTTGTAGATATTCTCCTATATTTTCTTCTAAGTGTTATAGAGTATTGTCTTATACATTCAACTACTGAATCCATCTGGAATTAACTTTTCTGTTTGGTATAGCTAACAGTTAAATTCCATTTTTTTTCTATATAGAAAACCAGCTATTTCCATGCCATGTATTAAAGTGATCACCCTTTTAAATAAACTAAGAAGTCAACTCTGTCTTAAATCACAATTCACTATGTATTGATACTCTTTCTGGGTTCCTTATTCTGGTGATAAATTTGTATATCTCTTTGCCAATACCACCCGTCTTAATTGCTACAGGTTTAAGTAATTCTATGTAACTGGTAAAACAAGTTCCCTGACCGTGTTCTTCTTCTGCAATATTTAGGCTGTTATTGGCCTTTTGATATTCTGCATACATTTTTGGAATACAATTTTCAAATTTAGTGAAAAAATCTGTTTATATTCTGATTGAAATTTTGGTAAATCTGTAGATCAATATGGAGAAGCTTTACCATAACCAGCCCCAGCTAAGTCCCTAGGCACTGCATCTCAAATAAGCTTCCCTGGTAGATGACATTTCACATGAGCTGTCACAATTCATTGCTGTGGGAATTAAGTGTGCTTTGTGTGACTCTGCTAGGCGAGAACTCTTGGAAGCTTGTGCTTGCTTTTCTCTTGACTTTGCCCATGTGCTTTTTCCCCTTGCTGATTTCCCTTTCCTGATTTCCTTTTGCTTCGTATCCTTTCACTATAATAAATCTTAGCCATGAGCATGGCTATATACTGAGTCCTGTGAGTCCTTCTAGTAAATCCTGGTTACTTCCTACACACCCAGAGTATTTTTCCATTATATTTTCAGCTTTCCCATGATTTTATATTTCAGTGTATCTCTTGATAAAGCCTTCTTACTGTCTCCCTTTGTGGCAAAGATTTATTTAGCTAATCTTTTCAGGGTGTTATTTTCTAGGGTCCTGGTTTTATTATTTTTCTTGGATCTCTGCTCTGACATTTCACCAAGCAAGAGGCCTAGACTGAGTCTTCTTTTTCCATGAATGTTCCCTGAAACAAAGGTCCAGACCACCAAGGACTGGCAAATGCTGTAAAAATGTAGCAGTCAGCATCTGCATATTAGCCTAACCCTCTCTGGCTTCATGCTCCCTCTCTCTCTCTTCTTTTTTTCTCCTGTAAACATTTTATGCAGATACCATTACTATTCAGAGGCTTTCACTCTCAATTTAGTCCCTCATCAAATGCAGTGCCAACGCAGTTCTTTGCATCCTCTACTAAAGGCGGTATCTTTGATAGTCCAAACAGTCCTGGGCCCTGGAGCTGACACAGCTTGCCTTGGAAGAGATTTGGATGCAGATGTGTTTTATCCGCAGCCTGTAGCCATCTCTTCAACAAAAAGTATTTGTTCTAAACAGTTAAATTTTTTTTCAGGACACATATTATGGACATGCAGTGTTATCTAATTGCTAATTTATATTTGTTTATTTTGAATACAAAATAATAAATCCATAATTCCTATTAAAACATTGAAAAAACCCATTATTTCTAAATAGAGGGGCTTTTCAGAAGTTACATTCTCTTTTCTTATGTACTGATTCATTCTTTTTCTGGGAGTAATAGATAATAATAGCTCTTTGTATTTCCTATATTTTATCATGAAAAGTAAAACAGTAATCACATAATGATTTTATGACTTTTTACCTTCTCTAAGTGACTCCTAAGTGACTCCTTAATATCCTAATATTAATATCCTAATATTTATCCCAAAGATATTTAGGGGAGTCCTTGAGATCCTTAGTTGCCATATTCGTATGGGTCCTAGATATAGAACTTGGTATTGATTGTAGCCCATAGTTCTGTTTTTGAGCTAAGCAAAACATGGATTTAAGTAAGACATGAACCCTAGCTCTAGGTCTTAGAAAAAAGCAATTATGAAATAATTTGAGGTTGCAGTATAAAGAGAGGCCATTTATATAATTCTGGGGACATGACTAGTTAGGATTTTAGGATAATGAAGGAAGATAGAGGTTTAGTCAGTTTAGGACATAGACTTTTCTTTGGCTTGGATTTTGTAGAAAAAATCTCATTCAATTGGGATTTCCAAAAAGTCATTGGATTATAGCAATTAAATTTTCAGTCACCTAATATGATTTTGGGTCATACAGTTGAGCATATCTCTGCAAGATTCTTTCATGGGAAGATTTTTATGGAGGAAAAGGGAAGGTAGGTCAACTGGTCTATTGACTTTAGCACAGACTATTAACACTTGTTGAGTATCTCTCATATAGCAGATGTTATCCCTGACTGTCTATATTTGTTATTTTATTTTATACTTCTAAAATCTCAGTGAAATTAAGCATTTAAAAAACCCCTCTCTAAGCCAGACATATTGGCTCCAGCCTGTAATCCCAGCACTTTGGGAAGCTGAAGCAGGGGGACTGGTTGAGCCCAGAAGTTCAAGACCAGCTTGGGCAATAAAGTGAGACCTCCATCTCTACAAAAAAAATTAACCTGGAATGGTGGGATGGGCCTGTAGTCCCAGCTACATGAGAAGCTGAGGCTGAGAGATCCCATGAATTCAGGAGGTCAAGGCTGCAGTGAGCCATGATTGTACCACAGCACTCCAGCCTGGGTGACAGAGTAAGACCCTGTCTCAAGAAAAATTAAAAATGCCTCTCACAGATGAACAAATAAGACTCAGTTTAAGTAATTTACTTGAGGTCATGCAACTTTTGGCTCTAAAGCTTTGGCATGCTTATTATATATGCTGTCTTAGTCTATTTTCTGTTGCTGTAACAGAATACCACAGACTGGGTGATTTATAAAGAAAAAGAGTTTGTTCAGCTTATGGTGCTGGAGGCTGAACCATGAGTATGGTAGATAAGTTGAAAAGTCCAAGAGTATGACACTGACATTTGGTGAGGGTCATTCCATGGTGGAAGGGCAGAAGGCAGGAACTCATGCATGAGACAGAGAAGAAAAGGGGGCCAAACTCCTGTGGTAACTAAACTACTCTTACAATAATGGCGTTAATCCATTCATGAGAATGGAGCCCTCATGGCCCAATTGCCTTCCAAAGGCCTCACCTCTTAACACTGCCATAATGGCAACCAAGTTTCCAACACATGAACTTTTGGGGGTCACACTGAAACCATAGCACATGCAAACCTTGTGTTCCATAGATCATATACAGAATTAGCTCTGGTAGAAATGTGTATCACATAAGTCATTAAGGCAGAAGCTTGAACAGAAGGGGAACTGGACTAGTTTAATGTTATTCTCCATATTTGTTTGAAATGCTTTAAGTTCCTCCATTTCAATTTAGCATAGACTTAGGGACTGGGACAAAGCTGACCCCACTAATGAGGATCAGTTAGATTCTGTAAGATCTAGAGGCCGGCGGAGCTGACAGCATCAAAGTACATATAAATATGGAGAGGAATTCAGAACAAATGGCTTATCAAAGTAAGAAAGAATTAATAGGGAAGGGGTTTTGTGGCAGAAAGGATTTGGATGATCTCTAATTCAGCAAATGTTTAACAGATGATTCTTTTGTATATGGCACTTTGCTTGGAGACAAGTAAAGCCAAGATGTATATGGCACCCTCTCTGCTCTCGAAGAATTTCTATTAAACAAATTACCTTAATATTTGGTGGAATGGAATAAATACTAAATAGAAGAACAAGTGCATGTTATGGAATCATGGAGCAATTACATGACTGGTGCATTAATGGAAGCCTTAACAAAAAAGGTGACAGGTAAACAGGTTATTGAAGGGTAAGTAAAACTTAAAAAAAATGGTAGATCAGTTGACAAATTTCATGAGACAGCAACACGAAGAAACAGCACAGAGCAGGGAGTTGTCCAAGGAGGTAAATGAGATAAACAAGTCAATTTTACTTAGGAAATGACATAGATAGAATAAGGTAGACACAATTGTTTTTGCCCAATGAATACTTATTTTTCTCTTGTTTTCTTTTTTTTAATTTGAATTTTTTTTTTTTTTGAGTTGTAGTTTTACTCTTGTCGTCCCGGCTGGAGTACAATGGTGCAATCTTGGCTCACTGCAACCTCCACCTCCTCGGTTCAAGCGATTCTCCCGCCTCAGCCTCCCAAGTAACTGGAATTACAGGTATACGCCACCATGCCTGGCTAATTTTGTATTTTTAGTAGAGACGGGGTTTCACCACATTGGCCAGGCTGGTCTCGAACTCCTGACCTCAAGTGATATGCCCGTCTCGGCCTCCCAAAGTGCTGGGATTACAGGTGTGAGCCACTGCGCCTGACCCTCAGTTTACCTTCTTATGATAACAACATGTTTATCTTACCTGGGGAATCATCACTCTTTTATCTCTTATCCTGATTATTTGAATATGATGGCTGTCTACCCTACATTTTCCCAAATCAGGAGTGAGCATGTGATCTAGGCTTGGCCAATTAGCAAATTAGACTCAATCTTGAAGTTTTGATTGAAAAAGAGCCTTCTTCTGAGATGGTTAGGCTGTGATGATGTGTTCCTGGAGCAGCCAGGGAGCAATATGATGGGAGATCCTCCCTTAGAATAACCAGAGAGAAAATCAGAGCCAAGGGTCAGAGACAGTGTCCTGATCTTGCCCCAAATTTTTGATTATGTGAGCCAATACCCCTCCTATCCTTTTTTAACTTGTGTTTATTTAAATTGAAGGTATAAATTGTTTCTAATGAAAGGGTCCTGACCAATATACAGGGCTTGGAGGCCCCACGTTGGAAACTGAGCAGAAAGCAGAGTAGAACAAGCTGTTGAAGTAACAGAAGCGGTTGGGCCATGTTGAGACTGGTGAGAAATGAGACAGGAGAAGTATGATAATACAAATTGGCACAGAGCTGAGCAGGGGATTGATATATTAACAACTAGGAGACAGTCCAGTGTTTTTTGGGCAGTAGACTGATACAGTGAAGAATTTTAATCTTTCTCTCTTTCTTGTAATTTTTTTGTATTCCACTTTCTACCCTCTCTGCTCTGGCATTGGTTATATTTATAGCAATGTTGATTTTGTTTCCTATGGCTATCTTTTGTGGAACTTAACACTGAAATTGATCAAGACTCCAAATCTCAGATATTGTGCCTCTTTGAAAAGAGATGAGAGTTTTCTAGAGATGATACACAGGGAACACAGACTCACTAGATACCTCTCAGTTGGATTTCATTTTTTCCTCTTCCAAATCCATGTACCACTGAATTAGTATTTCTTTTATGGCAATAAACCCAGTATGATGTAGGCTATTGTTGTATGGCACTTGTCTTCAAACTACCCAAGCCCTCTCCCTTTATGCCAGATTGTAGCCTTCTTGGTGGGCAGGAACTAAACATTGTGCATATTTTAGAAGAAATTTTTCACAGTGCCAGTCCATTCTCTTGTATACAATAGGTAGTCCAAAGCTTATGGGGAAAATTTTCCTTTAAATAAAACTATTACATGTTTATTAAAGCAAGTATTAGTATCTAGGCTTAGAGACTAGTTACCTGAAAATTTATTACTCTTTGAATGATTAAAGGAAGAAATAAGTTATGGAAGAGACTGTTTTGACATTTGGAATGTGCATGTGCATTTATCCCAAAAATAGGAAGTACTATTGTTTCCACAGGTCATAGGACGTTTCCTAGGAGTATAATTCTCAATCCTTAAGTCTCCTGTTCTCCTTTTCTCAAAAATTTTCTATTCAATAAAATTATTACATATGTGTAGATATTCCCTTCTACAGGAGGTGGAGTTCAGTTCTGCCCCCTACTCCCCTTGCCCTCCACTCTTTCCCCTTGAGTGTAAGCTAGACGTAGTGAATCATTTCCTAAGCATAGAGTGAGCAAAAGGAAAACAGTAACTTTACAGTGGAGAATACTGGAAAACATTATCTTAACCAAGTGATGAAAGTTACCATTAATCATGTTGTCATGTGGAGAACATGTACCCTTGATGTGACATGACAAAAGGGCACTTAACCTCTGTTGATTCCTTTTCAAAAGCCCATAACCTCAATCTAACCATGGTAAAAATAACAGAAAAGGCCCAAACAGGGGACATTTACAGGATATTTGGCCAGTACTGCTTAAGACTGTCAAGGTCATGAAAAACAAGGAAAGACTGAGAAACTGTCACAGGTTGGAGAGACTTGACAACTAAATGCAATGTGGTACTCTGGATTTGATCCTGAAACAGAAAGAAGACATTAACGGGAAAAAATGGTGAAAGCCAAACAAAGTCTGGCATTTGGTTAGTAGTAATGTACTAACATTAGTTTCTCCATTTTGACCCAAATGTATTATACAATACTAACGTAAGATATTAACTAATGTAAGATGGGGGAAACTGGGTCAAGGAACAGAAACTCTTAAGTACTAATTTTGCAACCTGTAAATCTAAAATTATTCCAAAACAAAAAGTTTATTTAAATAATTGTTATGAAGTATTTCAGTAATGTAGAACATTAAGAAGGATATAATTAACAACACGTATTAATCACCCAAACTTAAGAGAGAAAAATTACAGATATACACTTTTCCTTGTGCTTTCACAATCCTGATACACTTTTCTTGAGAGGTAACCAGTATTCTAAATTGTGTTCATCATTTCTGTTTGTCTTTGTTTTATTCTACATATATGTGAATCTGTAAACTTTCTATATTATTGTGTTATACATATTTAAACTTGAATTAATGGAACAATACTCTGTCAACATTTTTTCAGCTTGCTTTGTTCCCCTAGTAATATGTTCTTGAATTTCATCTGTAAGGTTGATCAGTCCTGCTCCAGTCATTCATTCCATACCTATTTATTATACCTGGTAGAATACTAGGTACTTAGGATTCAACAGTGAATCAAATATTTCTGGAAGGCCCTGTGCTCAAAGATGTATATATAAAAAGTGTTATTGATAAGCTTATAGTCTAGTTAGGGAGCTTTCACACAGTAAGAGGCTGTAATATGGATATTTATTTCTAACTTCATTGTTATCTACAAATACTCTCTGTTAGATATTTTATTTTGATGGCCTGCAGACATGTTTTGTTTAGTCAACTCAATGCCTTTTAAAATTTTGTGTTAGTTATCAAGAGCAGTTAAAAATTAAGTGATTTCTTATAATGATTTGGTTTCCAGCTTCTCTTGAAAAGTCTGGCCCTAATGGGCTGATTCCAACATGGTTACCACCGGGAGGAGCAGAGGAGCTGTGGCTCTGAGTTACTCACAGCTCGCTTTGCCCTTTGCACAACTGCCTTACTTGCTGGACACCCCGGGAAGTTTCAGACACTTGAGCTGTACAGTTAGGCATATGCATGCTCCTTGTTTTCCCATACAATCTCTTAAATGTTGTCATTGATATTGTTGACAAATATGGGAGAGTAAAAAGATGTGTATATACACATAGAGCTTGAGATTTTCAACACTGTATATGCTATGGCAAATTTTTCTTTTTTTCTGAAAAGAATTATATCATTTTTATGAACACACAAACCAGTTTTTCTACAAGTGGGCACAGTTTTCCAAATTAGATGCTTTTATTGCAGTTTATTCCACTGTTTCTTGAGGGCCCAATACATTCAGGACATGGTTCTAACTGCTGAAGTGATTCAAAGAAATATATCGTAAGGTAGTAAAACACATTCATAAATGACTTTGTAATTCAACATATTTGTTGAGCACTTGCTGTAGGCTAGGAACTTACTATATGCAAAGGGAATGACATAGGTGAATAAGATGATTCTTGACTTCAAGTACTTTATTATTATCTGGAGCAGTGGTCCTCAGAGATGCATGTGCTGACATGGAGATTCCTGAGCCCACCTGCGCACCTTCTAATTTAGTGATTGAGGTAAATACGAGGCATCTTCAGTTTTAAGAAGTATCTCAGGCAAAGGCAGATTTATTGTGATGGTAACTGGACTTAAGTGGCAGGGCCCTTCACTTGAACTAACTGCGTGAATTCTGGAAGTCACTGAGAATTCTAGAGTGTTTTATGAGGAAAGAGAGGAGAACCAGGTTTCCACTAGGAACCGTTTCTAAGCAAGCACTGTAAATTTTCTAATGTGACCTTAATTTCCAAGTCTCCAGTACAGTCGGCCCTCTATATCTGTGCATTCCACATCTGCGGATTCAAATATGGATTGAATTATATTTGGATTGAAATATTTGGATTGAAAATATTTGGAATGTACCATGGATTGAAAATATTTGGAAAAAAGCATTTCACAAAATTCCAAAAATCAAATCTTTAATTTGCTGTCTGTGGAGTACTATGTTGAATCCATGAGGATGTAGTGATATGTAGACATCGTAATAAGTATGACAAGTAATCTAGAGACAATTTAAAGGATGATATGTTTAGGTTGTGTGTAAATACGATACCATTTTATATAAAAGACTTAAGCATCTGGGGATTTTGGTATCCACAGGGTGTCTTGGAACCAATCTCCCACAAATACTGAGGGGACAACTATAATTTGTTGTGATTTATTTTCTCATGCTAAATAGTCACATTTGTATCTAACTTTAATTCAAATATTCTTTTCTTTTCCCTAAAATGACTTCACCAAATTATGTAAGCTTCAGGCTGATAGCCCTGGTGATTTTGGTGCATGTTGTTCCTGGACCAACCTTTGACAAATGCTATCCAGGGTTATGGAGTGAGATGGGAGATAGAATATCAGTTACATGTAATGCCAGCAAGATGTCAGATGGGCTGTTGTTAGAGAGTCAGAAATAGTATTAGAGGTGAACATTGGAAGTAAAATTTAATTTTGATTGGGAATTTTAGGCTTTGTGCCTAACCACTATGTGACCACTGGACACCAGCCTGCCATGCAGTGGTAGTTTGGATAATTTTACTTATTTGCTAAATATGGTACCTCTGGAAGGATGTGTTAGAGGATTGCCTGATTGTGGGTATATATTTTTAAAAAGGTTGGATGTCATTGAATTGATGAGAATGTACCTTTATGGACAGTCCAACCTCAGGTCCTCTGCTTCTGTTCTCCCTACCATCTGTAGCTTTTCAAAGTTGAGTCCACTGCTTTCCACACACCTCCCACCTCTCCCACCACCTGCAAGCTTAAACCCTCCCCCTTTTAGAGGTAGTCCTCACTGAGGCATAAAGTGCTTGAACAGCCTCAGCTCTATCATATAATTGGGCTTTCAGTTACATCCATATCCCAGAGTTGGTGGCACACCTAGGACTGCTAGATTCTACACCTTGTGATTTCTCAAGATTTTTCCAAAAACAGAGCCGGGGGCCAGGAGGAGTATTTGTGTATAGTTTACCTCCATTTCTCTCATTTCTCCTAATCCCCAGAAAAAACCCTGAGTTGTAGCCTAACACACCCTATAATTTGTCTTAATCCAAACTTAACTTCCCAGAGTCACAATTCCTACTGAATGTTAAGCTGTAATTATTGAGGAACAAAGTTTGCACAGAATCAGGGGCTGCAGATGGTATGAAATGATTTCCTAATAGTACAGGATATTATGGCCATGCCCTCTCCTCTCTTTATTTGCTGGTAATAGCCTGATCCAGAGCAACTTTGGAAAGCAATGGATCTCATTAGGAATCTTGCTGAAAACAGAGCCCAAGAGATAATCCGCCATTCTCTTGATAAATAGGTACCATAGTTTCTGGTTATCTTTTATGATATTCCAATTAGCAGAGGGTTGGGGTAAGAATGAACAAATGATTGAATTGTGGGTCCTGATAAGTGTATATTATCTAGCATGACTGAGTGCCTTTTGTATGCCGGGAACTTTAACGAATGCTTTATGTACATTATCTTAATCTTTTATATACATATATATATATAAATATATATATATAAGCAAACTCATTGTATATATAGATGACAAAACTGAGACTTGAGGAGAATGTGTAGCTTCTCAAAAGCCATATAGCAATCAAAAGAGCTGAAATATGAACTCAGATTTTAGGGACTCAACTTCATTGTATTATAGACCAATCATTATTTGTCTTCCCATGTTTAAGGCATACTCTTCATTGGTCTATATGGTTTGTATCTACGTACAGTTTCTTACATACTCCCAAAGCAATGTATTGATAAAGAATTAGAGTCAATCAGGACACTATGCAACCTGAGATAAAGGGTTCCTTAGCAGTGGTGCCCTTGGGAACGCAGAAGATTAGGTGAGGTTATTTGAGACAAACCAGGATAAAGGCAACAGGATTTTATCATGGATGTTCCTCACATCTGTAGAAGTGTTCCTATTGGCTAGGAAGAAGCAATATTAGTAGGAGTCCTAATTAGGTGTTTGCAACCATTATTTCTACTAACTGTTAACTCTGAGCTATTAAGACCCCATTTGGGCACATCCTAATTTAGGGTGTAAAAGAAAATAACAGGGTGGGCTGGGCGAGGTGGCTCATGTGTGTGATACCAGCACTTTGGGAGACTGAGGCAGAGGATTGCTTGAGGCCAGGGGTTTGAGGCTATGGTAAGCTATGATGGTGCCACTGCACTTCAGCCTGGGTGACAGGGTGAGATCCCGTCTCTCTAATAAATAAATAAATAAATAAATAAAAAATAACAGGGCTGTCAGTGATATCATTTCCTAGGGTTAACATAAAGCATCTGTCACTCTTTGCCATTTTTGCATTTGGTTAAAGGAATACTATCACATCACGTGACACCCACTAAAGGGTCCCAGAACAATCATTTTGTGAAGTGTTGGGGCTACTGCAATATAATTGCCCAAAGAACTATACACTTTGTTTCTTTATTGACTCTTAATGTGCTGTTGCAGACAGTGAAGATAGTGGCATAGTGGCTCCAGGGGAAAGTTATAGAGTAATTTCTGGTGGAACGGAGATGTCATCAAAGACAGAAGAGACCTTTAGAAACAATGCCACTGGCTGTACTTTCAAAGCCATGTAATCTGGGAGTAGAGATCTCACAGGGTGGCAGTGCCAGTGCTATGCAACACTTAGGTCTGTGGACCCAGCTCATGCTTCTTTCTCAGTGTCTGTTTCATCATTTTAAAGACTTCTGATGTACCATGATTAGCTATCGGTCTTTTTCTCACCTCATCCCTTGAAAGAACATATTTTATTTTTCTTAGTACAACATAGCATAATTCCACTAAACAGTAGTCATCTGTAAGCCTGCCAAGCCAGATAATGTTTGGCTCTCTTTTCTAGCTCATTCCCCTGGAGAAAAAATATAGTGAAATCCCAGAAAAGGTTACAGAGGTATTCTGCTGTTTAACAGTATTGCTGCCTTTTAAGAAACAAAATGAAAACTATCCAAAGCCAAATATCCTTTGATAATATGGATGCATATCATCCCTTTCTAGACTAATGGATAACTATGTTCAATTTCTTTTTTCCATTTAAAATTTGAAAAGACAATATTTACCTGTCAAAATTTTGAAATTCCTTGATTGGAAAGAAAGGTTTCGTAGGAGATGTGGGGGATGGGGATTGTGACTTCCTCTTCTCAGGGTCCCACACAGTGCCTGGCATGTAGTAGGCTCAAGAGAGGTGAATCATACTGCCTGGATCATCCCTAGTGTGTTTCATGGTCACTTCCGCATGTCCATCGACACTTCCTTTTTCTACTGAATGAGATTTACACTGAGGCATATGCACATTTATATTTACCCTTCTTTCAGGGACAGTGCAGCTCCAAGTGCCCTCTGCACGTGTGATTAAATATTAATTAGGCTTCTAATATAAGCAAGTGAGTTCACAGGCCTGAGTGTCACATGAATAATTTATGAGGTACCCGAAGGTTCAGCCTGGAAAGCTGATTGGCCACCTTGGATTTGTATAATTACGAAGTTTCATTATTAACAGTGGAAGCGGTGCAGAGATTTGCCTAGCTTGAGGGACTTTGAAAGCATAAGCTGTCTCATTAGGGAAAAAGGGAATAAGGCAAAATATGCAAACTTGTTAGCAGAAAAGAAGGGGGGTGGATGAGATTTAAACTTAGCTTTCAAACATGACTATAGTATGTATGCTTTTAGAAATATGTAGTAAAATTGGTATTCTGATTGATAAGCATGTTTGCTTTAAATTTTTAGTATACTGAGAAATGCTTCAAAGGTTTTTTTTTAAATTGAAGGCCAAAATCTTTAATATTTTACTGATAAAGCCACAGGTAGCCTAATGGGCCCTGTGGAGTGAGAGGTTTGGAGGTAAAAGAATGAAGACAGTCCAGGGCTCTTGCTAGAATGTGTGTTGTGCATGCAATTAAATCTCAAGGTCAAACAATTTACAGACAATTACTTTTCTAACATCTCCAGAAATGCCTGCTTACACGTCTTTAATTTTAAATGATACTGATATTCCAATTCTCCCCAAAGGTTAATGCTGACTAAATCCAGCTGTGACCTGACACGATGCGACAGCACAGTGCCTAATTATCCTCTGGATAGTCATTTACTTGAAACCATTAAAGGAATAGGCTGAGAGGAAGATTTAGGACCCTGAAAAAATGTTAGCCTGACTTCTTTCTTCTTGAAGATGGGATGGGCTGAAAAATAAAAATAAAATCCTGCTAAATGTTAGCCATTTGCTTTGATGGCAGAAAATTGTTCATCCCACTCTGTTTTTTTACAGGTTAAATTGCTAACTAGTTCATTTTATCCATTGCCTACGGCTGGCGCTAAATGTCAGTGACAAATTTTGTACTTGTCTTGAAGAATGAATTAAGTTATGCACAAAAGCTATAGTGCTCTTTTAAGATGAGTGAATTGCAGAGGGAAAAAAGTTGCTCTTTTGAGAAAGGATTATTTTGATTAAAGGCCTTTTCTATAGTAGCGGAAGACAGGTAGTGGTTTAAGATAATTCCGACAGTTACCTCCCACAGAGGCTGCAGTCCTTTGCTAGAAATTTTCCTAAGAGCAATTGTGTCAGATTATATACTATGATTATTATCATAAGACCATTAGTGACAGTGAAATAAATTACTAAAAAAAATTAAAAAACCCTAGTTTTTATTAACAAGAGTAAAAATCATTGTTTTCTGTTGTAGGGGTTAGCATTCCATCACTTTGTTACATAAACCTTTCACAGTGAGTTGCAATGGAAATTAAAGAGAGACATAATATGCTTGCCAAAATGTTGCGAAAATGAAACCTTAGGTCCTTAGGTAACTTGTAATAGAAAAATTTGACAACAGCTGCTAGAGACCTTCATCTCTCTTGTTTTTAGTTTCTTGGCAGTTGAGTCTTGACTCATCGCCTCGTAATAAAAACTATCTAGCAACAGTTATTGACATCCCATTGTAAGCTAGTTTACTATCACTAGCTTATATAAAATGAGATTTGCATCAGTTCTATTTCTGGTTTTCATTTTGGAATATTTTTGCTTATTTGATATACAAAGTTTAATAGGAGTAATTTTGTCATAGTACTGAATTATTCCAACTAAATTTTAGCACTCTTGATAAATAAAATGAGTAGACTAAAAATGCAATTTTAAAAAATTATAGTGCTAATATGAACATACCGAAGTATTGAGTACCTGAAGGGAGATTTCACCTCTGATTCAAATAGATGGGTTTTGTTTGAGTGGGGACAGGATTTTCTTTGATGAACTCCAAGAATGTGACTGACTACAAATAGTTTATAATTTCTATTCTGTTAGTCCAAGATGTTTACTTGAAGGAGCAAAAATATGCTGATGGTTTCTAGGTGAAGTGATAATACAAGGTTATTTAGTTAGAATTTTCCTTGCATCATAAGAGACAAGTATAACCAAGCTTTGTTAATTGATGCCATTTCATACTGTGAAATTATTATAGGGAATTTGATTTTAAAGAAAACTATAGTGATTAGTTTTAAAACCCTAGTTAAATAATTACTTACTTGGGATCGGCTCTTTTAAATTAAATTAATGAAATGAGTTGTCAAATCAGCTCTCACTAAAGTGATAGATAAATATAGGTATTTGAACTTCTGTCAAGACCTAGTATTCAGTCTTGGCAAGAAATGGCTTTTGTGATTGAATGGTTTCCTCTTTTACTCCTCGGTCCCCCACCCCTTTTCTAACTACTGCGATCCTGTTCTATAATTATGAGTAGTGTGAATGGCCTCTCAGTTGGAGTTGCCATTATCTTCATCCTTCCCAGCAAGAGTTTCAGTCTGATGATGTAGAACAAGATTTTGAGGAAACAGCCTAGGCTTCAGTATTAGGGAAAAGTGGTCTCCCAGAATGTTGTTTAGGATGTTTTTTTCTTGGTGTACATATATGTGTGTCTGTAGTGCAGTGTGCTGTGATGTAGTGTGGTATGCAGAGGGAAGTGCCAGCTGCATTTAAATAGAATTTTATCTACAAAATGGTTTCTTATGTATTCCTGCGTTTGGGCTCACACCATCTCTTTGGATAATTCTGCAGGGGCCAGATGCTCTAACTATCACGGGGGGGTGTATGTACACATTTTGCATGACTGATGTGTCAGGAAATTGGACAATAGATGATGGAAATCATGTGGCTGGTTAATTTACCTCATTGGATTGGAGTTCACTAACTTCATGAATTTGGTGCTGATTTTACCTGATTTTCTTCTCTTCCTTTTGTATTTTATGGTTTATATAATTAGCACATTAAACTTATAGGCTTAAAGAAAACATAATTTAGTTTTCAGTAAATAACTATGTTTAGTGATGCGTGTTTTTCTAGGTAGGTTTTGTCTTCAAATTGTTCCCACTGTGACTTGTTGGCATTAATAAATCTACTGGAAGAGTCAGAGGGATGAACAGGGAACACTATTTTCCCCAATGAAAATAATCTCTGGTATCTCCGTATTTGTGGCTGAGAATGTAGACCTACTACTAGACAGTGTTCAATATTGCAAGAGGTGTGTAGTGAAGCCTAGAATATATTTTGGCATTTTGCTTCCCCATGCAGCTTCTTGTATAATCAATCCCACTGTGTTTACAGGTGAAATCTTACTATGTTTGTTTAAAAAAGAAAATAGTGGAATTGGTTGGAATGTGTAAACTTGAAGAGTAAAGTCCTCTGCCATAATGCACACTGAGAGCCAAAGTATTTTAATTTGTGTGTAAATTGGACATATACTAGCAACATATCTTTTTGTGCTTTAGCTGTGAATTGTGTCCACTTATCTATTGTCATCAGTCAACATTTCTAGAAGAGTGCTTTTTAAACTTGCAGTTAATATTCAACACAGGTAATAACAAATATCCATTCAAAAAATAATTTTACCATTTCAATTTATTTGTTAGGGACTGTAAATCATAAATTGACTTCCAATATGATTTAGTCCACATAATCATTTCTATTAAAACATAAAGTTTATCCATGTAGATTAACATTATTGAGCATTTTTGTTTCCATTTTTTAATGGTGATATTGCTGTCCTGCACCTAACATTCCATGAAGTCACATGTGTAGCAATTGTAAGTTCAACAGAAGGAATGGAGTATCCATAGAAGATTGAGTGTTAATAGGACATTTTATATTTGATTCTACCTTTGTTTCCAAAGTTCTTCATATAATTGAAGTCTCCTTTAACCCCCTCTACTTTTCAGAGAGGCCTCTCTCCTTTACTGCTCAGACTATTATTTCAATAATTTAATTTTGATTTTATATTGCTAAATATTGCATTAAACATTCTCTTTTGAGAACTATGTACTGTATTTGACATTCCACTTGAAAAATCTTAAATTCATTTTCTGTCTCTGTTGCTTATTTTTAAACCCACTAAATTTAAACTGTCCCGTTTCTCTCCCCCCTCCCTGGGTGTTCAGACCACAAAGTTTTTTTTATGTGATATAGGGCACATAGAGGATGAGTCAAAAAATATTTAAAAATGGCCTCACTTATGTAACCATAATATAGATCTTAACTTCTTAGCAAATGCATAAATTATCACTATGTTTTCCCACAGCCTTGGACTTCCCAATTGCCACATGTAGTAGTTGTGGGATACTATTAACCAAAATGAAATAATCAAATGAAATTAATACATTTTCCTACCTAAAAGCTCACCAGCTTATTTACTTGTTTCTAGCTCAGAAGGCCAGAGCATGCCATCTAAAAACTTGGACAACATGAACTTGGACCCAAGTTTGTCCAACTTAGATCTCCTCTCTGTCTAACTTAGATACCCTCTTTTCCCTTGAATATGTCTCTCACTATTTTGGCAAAAGCTATGGTCCTTCTGAATCAGAGTCATGCAGTTTATTAGGGACAGCTAGCTGAGAAACCACAAATAAATATAGATCTTTTATATCCACTTAACATTTATTTTATTATTTCTCTGTGGGAAATTGGAAATAACTTGGAGTGTAGATGTATTGCTTCAAGCAGATCCAATGGATGAAACGGTTTGCTTTGGAGAACAAGCAAGTTACTGGTGATTTGCTTTATAGTACTAAGGATAATAACTATAGCAATTATACTTTTTTGAGCACTTACTGTATGTAACTCTTATTTAATCCTCACATTTACTCTGCAAGGCAGTTATAAACTGTATTTTACAGGTGAAAAAACTGATGTTCAGTATTGTACAATATGAATTAAATAAGTGAATCTATCACATCACTGACATTATTTTCTTGCTTTCCTCTGTGTTTGAATAGAAATACTCTGTAACTGAAAAAAAGAATAAGTTATTTGGAGTGAAAGTTTATGCAAATATTTTTTCTCATGGGATTCAAGTTATGGCTCTGGCTTTTTGCTTCCATCTCTACCCCCTTGAAATATTTTGCTATTCATATTGGAATAGGCATTTGTCTATCAGACATTTGTGATCTCCCAATCAAATAAGATCACTGAGAACTTGCAGAAATATTATTTAGTGTCATGATTTTACTTGGCATACATGACTTAGAAATAGTTGAAATATATATATTTTTAAAGGAAATCATACCTTAGTAAGTACAAGAGAAAATTCAGATTAACTTCATTTTGCATGTTGTCTTTTAAACGCTTCCTGGGATCTGATTTATGCTGACACTGTGGGCACTATATAAACAGTATGTTGCAGTGCTTCTCTCCTTGTGCCCCCACTTCCCTCTCCATCCCAGTAAATCCTTTGAAGGTTTTATTATTCAGGGGTGGGAAGATTGGAGTGAAAGCTACAGAATGATTTAACACTGTGGGAACTTAATCAATAAGAGTGTTGCCGAGAGCTCCCAGGAAAGGGTGTTGTTTTCCATCCAGATGATAATGAGGCCGAGTAGCAGCAACCTCTGGAGGAGGAGTGCTGGGGCAGCGATTCTTTGGTAGTGCTTTTGCTGGTTGCTAATTAATAGTTTTGAGGCCAGTGGGGCACCTTTTGGCCTCTCTGACATTTGCAAGCTTTTCTGTGGCTTGTCCCACATGTCTTTCCACCATCAGGGGTCACTCTCAACTGGATTGGAGTCTGACAAGTCTAATTGGCTCGAATCTATGCAGATTTAAACATCTAGCCCACATGCCAAAAATCTGATGTTTTCTCATGCTGCTTCTGAGTTCCTGGCATTATAGGATCGGTGCATGCCTGAATTATTATGTACCAGCTTATCCTTCTGTTAGCATGTTAAAGAGCAATTAACTGGATGTGGTGTAAGAAATAGGGGAAAGAACTTCAATGCAGTTCAGTTGTAAATGCCTTTTATACTTAAAAAAAACTGTCAGACCATTGAGCATTACTGGTTGGAAAGCAGATTGAATCGTATAGTCAAAATTTTTAAAGGGTGAATAATTTTTTGAGAGTTGGTTTAAAAAAAAATCCTTGCTGGGCAAACATACAACGGTAGTATAATATAAATCACCCAAACATTCTTGATTTACTTACGTTGTCCCACTTCCTTTCCCAGATCTTACACTTCTCTCTCAAACTCTCAACTTTTATTTTTCCAAAATTTCAACTTCCTTATAACTGGTGAGTGGTCAGCCAACTTGCTAGATGAGTTTTCTTGTAGAGTATGTCTTTTTCATCACTGCCACTTTATAGGATTCTGAGTTAATGGCAGAATGCTGAGCTGGATGCACTCATAGTCCACACAAGACATTTGGATAAGATAATAAATTTCCAGTTTTCTTGTAAATAATTTATTTTAATTGACCATTATGACATATACAAAATAACATAATAGATATGCTGATATATTGCTTTGCAATTTCTAATGCATTTTGCCATGTTTAATCTTCACAATAATCTTGAGAAGACAATAAAGCCAGATGGGTTAATATTATTAAATTTCTAAATAAATATATTGATTTACAGAAAAATTAGATGGCATGCACAGTGTGCCTGTGCTATTGAGAGGCGGAGTTGGATTTTGATTACAAGCCACTTTTTCACCATAACATATATGAAAATAATTTGTTCAGTTGATTAGTTCATAAAAATCTTTTATAACTATGGCTAATTTTTAAAAATGTGTTGGCATAGTCTTAAACTATCCAAGGAGTTTTTGAAATATAGCAATAAAGTGATGAGTAAATTTATCTATGTGTGACTTAACAATTTTAATACCAAACTACTCTAGAGACTGAGAATGCATTTGATTTTCATTTTCTGAGAAATCTGTGTCATCGATAATTCACCTGAAGACATCAACCTTGCCATACAACATGTGGGAAATATTAAATTAATCCTTAAAAGTCTTACTTTTTAATAAAATGTTGACATACGAAAGTATGTTTAATGCAAATAATAACTGAAAATATCAGTTAAATGCTATTCTTAGCTTTTGTCTCAAACACTTGAGAAATCTGGTAAATAAAATCTTTAATTTTTTTCCTATTTTTTTCCTCAGAGAATGCTCTCCTTTTGTTTTTTTTTTTTTTTTTTGACAATTCTTTTGTGTCTCAAAGTTTCTGAGGTCTGAAAATCCCTCTTTCCGTATCCTCACAACTTATATTGTAGTTGCAGTGTTGGAAAAATATTACAAGTTAAAAAGAAGAGTGTGTGTGTGTGTGTGTGTGTGTGTGTGTGTGTGATGCATGGATGTGTAGCATGTGTGGTTTCAAAATAATTTAGAATTTTCTAGCCTTCAGTATAATTGATTACATGGAATATAGTGAAATGCATTTGTCTCTTGCTATTGGCGTCTATTTGTGTAGTATTAGATACCCTTTGAGTGAAAAAGATGGACATTTAAAGATCAAACTGGTAGAGAGCTTTGATATCATTAGTTCAGCTTCTCATTATACATTATTTTATTTATTTGTTTTTCTGTTTTTTTTTCCCCAAAGCAAATAATTTTGGGCCCATTAGTATAAGAAGAAATAAAAGGGCTTTATATATCACCTATGGAAATATTTTGATGTGATTTTCTATTAGGAAGTGAATAAATATTAATTTTAGCAAATTTTAACATACGGTCAAGCAATTTCAATGAGCAAGATCCTAATTTTACCATTCTAGATAAGATGAAATTGGACTAACAGTTTGATTATTTATCTATTTATTTATTCATTTTAGAGACAGGGGATCGCTCTGTCACACAGGCTGAAGTGCAATGGCGTGATCTCGGCTCACTGCGACCTCCGCCTCTTGGTTCAAGCAATTCTCCTGCCTCAGCCTCCCAAGTAGCTGGGATTACAGGCATGTGCCACCATGCCCGGCTAACTTTTGTATTTTTAGTAGAGACTGTGTTTCACCATGTTGGCCAAGCTGGTCTCAAGCTCCTGCCCTCAAGTGATCCACATGCTTCAGCCTCCCAAAGTGCTGGGATTACAGACATGAGCTACTGCACCCAGCCTTCACTTTGAAATCATACAAAATATATAACTTGAATGAATACCTTCTGTTCCATTTGTGTAAACATTCTGTAATGGAATTAAATACCATCAGATCTGAGTTTCTAGTTTGAATTTGCCACTAACAAACTGTGTGATTTAGATCAAATTATTTACCTCCCTGTAAATCAAATTTCTCAATAGCAAAATAGGAAAAACACATACCTTTTATATAAAATAATAGTGACTCACCAGAACTTGCTAGTGTTTTTATAAAATAAGCAGAGAAGCTTTACTATTATCAGACCAAAAATTTTATTTTAAGGTGGTATCATACACTTTAAGATACATAATATGGCCTGGCTCACACAGACCTTGATTCAAATCCTGACTCAGCACTTTTACCAAATATGATTGTTTGGGGAATTATGTCAGGTTGTGGACTCCCTGCCTCCCTTTCTTCCTTCCTTCCTTCCTTCCTTCCTTCCTTCCTTCCTTCCTTCCTTCCTTCCTTCTTTCCTTCCCTCCTTTTTTCTTTCTTTGTTTTGGTTTCCATCTGAAAATAAAAGGGAAAGAACATGCTCTTTATCTCTTTGGCACAGATTTGCTAAATGATAGGCCCTCAATAGATGTTAGTTTCTCCTTTCCAGTTTTATGAATATAATTGGACAACAAAGCTTAGAGTAATATAAATGTGGCTTACCACTGTTATTATATAATAATGATAAAATATTATGTTTCATCTGATTTGCTCATTTACTTAAATCACTATGTTTAAATTTTCTTGATGTTTAGAAAGGATAAAAAATTAAAAATGACACTGAATTATAGATATATCTTGTTTCAGTGAAGGGGATGGAGAAAAGTTAGGAAAGATACAAGCTACTTGAGCCAAATGTGATATGGTTTTGGTGGGCTTCAATTGTGGAGGAAGGGACCAGAGTAGAAGTCTTGTCAACTGTCTGGAAATTAAGGAGAAAGAACCTAGGCAGACGAACAAGCTAAGATGGTGAAGGGCAGGGAGGGATGTAATTTGGGGTCTAGATATAGCCTTTGGCTTTAACCATGTCTAATTTGGAGTAAAGACCAGTTTTGAGTAGGAAATGTGGGTAGGGGTGGGTTTGTAATAGAATGGTTTGGGAGGAGTGGTAGGCAGTGTTAGGAAACTTTTAGTATGGGTTTCAAGCTCGATGCTATCATGGGTCCCAAGACTGGTTGAAATCATTGGCACATCTGCCTTGTTATGAGTTAGAGAAGAAACGTGGGTGAACTACATCAAGAGCTGATGTCTTGGTTTGTTTCTTTTTGTCAAATTCATTATTTAATGGTAATTTACACCATGTCCTACTTAGCAGTTGAGTATATGACATTTTTTCATTTTCACTGGGACACAAATGAGTAGGTAATCTCTCAGAATTGTGTACAGGTAGAGGACTAGAGCTCTATATCAAGCAAGCTTTATTCACTAGTTTCCTCTGGAATCTAACTAAAGGTAATAAATGGTTAAGCAATTATTTAAAAAAATTTATGTCTATTTTCCTCTGAAAATTCTACAAAGGACATGCTTGTAAATGCATCTGGAATGTCTACTTATTGTACGTTAAAAACTTTTCTTTTTTGTTACTGGGTTAGAAGGATCAATCTCTCAAGCCCACAATCAATTGTGACTACATCCATAAAACTAACAGTGGATGTACATTTTCAAAATTGAAAGTCATTATAAAACAATGTAGGCCACTGTAAATCATAGCTAAAAACAGTCATAATGGAAGTCTTTTATCTATGTCTGATCCACTAACATGCAGTTATTCTGAGAACTAATAACTTCTTCTTGGAGATAGGGCCCCAAATTCAATTTTATAGCTCACAGTCCCAGTAAATAGAAAAAGTCTGCCAAACCTGCATTTATAAATCTTAGTGATTTCATGTTTTTACCGTATGTATTAGACTAGAAAAATGAGAAGTGAGGTTTGATGAGTTTTCTTACTTGGCCAATAAACTCTGCTATGTCTGTATGGAAAGTTTTATTATTAATTTTTATATTATTTCAGAGCTATATAACTAGCATTAATTATTTTAATAAAATTCAAGAGTACTTGGGAGAAATATTTGCTCCTCTTTCAAATAATAATTCAGCCTCAACTGTTTGAATAGGCCATCAATCCTCATTTTCTACTCATTGAGCAGCTGGGCTACAATAATCGACTCCCACCACAGTGTTATTAGAAGGGAGTACACTGCTCACTTCCTGGCAATGGACCTCTTTGATGCTTCCTAGTTCCAAAGGAGAAATTTACTAAATAAAGCACCAGTGCTCTGGGAAAAGAAAAACTTAAAGGACCAATCTGCTTCTTTCACACTGAGAAACTGATGTCTTGTGAAGGGATTCAGATCCCAATGTTGATATTAGCTTTTAACATTATTTGGTAATATTTTCATAAAGCGATTTTATTTTTGTTTAGATATTTTTATTTTTATTGAATTTGTTATTTAAAAGTTAAATACTTTCATGAATCAGAGATTTTTATCCACACAAAAGAACCTGACTGGCTAATTTAAGACAGAATAGAAATTTGCTAAAAGGATATTTGATATTATATAATATTAAACAGATATTAAAAGGAATCTCTGGAAAGACTAGAGACCCAGGCTTGTGGGCTCTGTAGACTGGAACAAATCCTAAAACTATTTCTCAGAACAATCTGTTGGACACAGATATGACACCTTGTACCCCTGACAGTACTTACCCTGGACTCTGCTTACTTCTAATAGAATTTGCTGTCCCTGGAGTCTGGTTGTATCTGCTGCTATACTGGCCCTATCCTTGCTAGAATAGATTCTACATGGCCATTTCAGGAGGGTGGTGCCCTGGTGCTTGTCTCTGCTGAACGTCTTGCCATCCTAGAGATTAACCCAGAGGTTTAAACAATGAAAACTAAACAAAACCCACAGTGGTTTATCTAGTGGAGTTGTGAACTTCTATTCATGGAATTGCTCAAGTAGAGAATAGGTGAGCACTAGGGATATTTTAAAGGGGATTCCTTCATTGGTTGGGGTTTGTACAAGATAATGTTTAAGGTTCTGTAGAATTTTTAGTTTAAATCTGAGAAAAGTTTTAGGATATATTTATTCTCCCATTCGTTCATTTCTGTACTTTCTTCTTCATCTATTCATCTGCAAGGGCATCTGTTGCAATCTTACTCTGTGCATGTCCCTTTATAGATGCTGCTATAGGTGAATTAAAGGAGGATGATGTAGGTTTATGCATCAGTTTTATACTCCAAATAATAACTACTTCTGAATTACGAAACCCAGAAATAAAGACAAACTATTGTGGATGTTATGGGCTTCCAGTTTAACACATTGGGTTGAAAACAATTTGTGAAACCCAATTAAAATAACAAAAGTTTAATAAATATATAAACACATGGAATGGAAGAGGAGAGAAAAGTAGATAAAAGATGTTTCCAAGTTTGGAAGATAGAAAACATATGTAAAAGTGGTACCTAACTTGATGCAGCAAGATACGTGAGCTGGTTGGCTTTATAGTCCTTTGGAAAATTTCAGGAATTGTAGGTACCAGATAATTCTGCTATGTTTAAAGAATATTACATTCTGTAAACGTTAATGTTGAGTATTTAGGCTTTAGATTTGAGGAAAATGGAAATAAGTGACATAAATACTTTTATTTGAAAGTTAGACTCAGAGGGTGAGAAAGACTATACAAGATAAGGGAAAAGAGCGTCATACCTTGTTAATACTTCAATGTTCACTGATGAAGAAAAGTAAGCTCAAGTCTCAGAAGATGAAGAGATATTTCTCTTCAAATTTATATATGCTGCTTAGAAGCTTTCATGTTTCCAGGAACTTAAAAAAGTGCTCTAGATATTTTAGTAACACTTCTGAAATACTACTGCCTCTTGAAAATTAACTAACTCATTCATTTGTACATTTATTCAATAATTATGTTTCCCTGGAGTGGCTGAGAATACAGTAGTAAACAAGATTGACACAATGCCTAGATTCATGGAGTTCACAGTCTTGAAATGACAAATTTTATGGTTTTGTTAGATCAGTTTCTTCTTACTCTAAAAGAAAAAGAATTTGCCTGGTCATATGATAGATGTTTTATATTTAATCCTCATAGAAGCTCCATTAGGCTTCATTTTTAAAAATCTGTATATTGTTTTGGATTGGTGTAAGGATTAAATAAGATAATGGATATCCTTGGCTTAATGCTTGCCACTAAATAATCATTCAACAAGTGTTAGCTATAGTTAATCTTTCTTTTATTCTTATGATTGTGATATATGCTTTAGGACTCCACCTGTACAGATGAAGCAAGTGAAATTCAGAGAGAATGTATAACATGCTCCATGTCTCTTGACTAATAAATTGTGGAATTAAGATTTGAATCCAAGTCTGCCTCTCTCAAGACTGCATGCTCTCTCCCCTCTCTTATAAATACTCTGCCAATACATTATATAAAAATCTGCCTTTTCAGGTTGGCTTGCTATTGAGCAAGTGTTTATGAAATAATCTTTCCAAATATGTGCCTTATAAATGAGCTATTGAAATATAATTTGCTCATAAGTGGTGGCTTATTTAGCTATTGTGGAATCAAATGGATCCCCAGTAACTTGGAACATTTTTGTCTCACATTTCTTAAAACTAGTTAAGGGATTAAAATATAGTCATGTTCTGATCTTCTCGTTTTGGAGTGTCTAGGTAATGTCTGAAGGACTCTTTAACGACAGGAAGAATTCTATGTAGAGTGACGAGATTGCTTTCCTAAAACCATTTCCAAAGGTTGGTTTCAGTTAGATCGAGAGCAGACACATGGATTTCTATGGCACTGTATGACCAAAGATTTAATGACTAGGACTTCTGAAGCTAGAAGGCAGGGAGGTAGGCTGGGATGGTCGAGTCAGGGAGAATTATACTGTAACCCTACTTAGGAAGGGAAGAAAATCCAAAGCAGAGAAAGACAGAAACATTTCTGTGACTGTCATGTGAGGGACAAAAAATGAAACCAAGTGGTTGGAGCCCATCCATATTCATTGTTTGTTTGTTCATTTGATGTATTTAGAGAATTCTAAGGAAGCTCTGAATCACTAATTTTAAGGCCACCTAGTATGAGATAGTGAGATACTTTTGGATGACTTCATGTGTAGAGGTTCTAACTGAGCCACAAAAGAGTTAGTGAGACATTGAAAGAAAATCCCTGATTTCACTCAGCTTTACCGCTAGCCAGCTGTGGGAATCTAATCTCATGAGGGCTTATTTTACTCATTTACAAGTTGAAGATAAAATCTGATTTGTCTTTTCTTGTGGAAGTGTGTTGTGAGAATGGATCAAAGTAAGGCACGGTAAAGTCCTTTGAAAAGTCAAGCACCATGCAGATGAGATATATTACTAGTACTGGTTGTAGCGACACCCACAGGAGACCAAATGCCTCTAATACCTTAATTTCTTGCACACCTTTCTTAAAGAAAGCCATTTTTTATTTGGCACTGAGAAAAGTAGCAAGAAAGCTGTGGATGTAAAGCACTGACAAGAGTACCTACTGCTAGTACTATGTGTTAAAGTGATGTATTTTCAAGATAATAATAATGGGGGCTTACATTTATCGACAGCTTGCTATATAAACAAACATTATAATAAATAATAAATTAACTCATTTAATCCTCACAGAAATCATATGGTACATAATTTTCTTATCCCCTTTTACCTGTGGAGAGACTGAGACACTGAAAAATTAAGCTTCCCAAGGTCACATAGCCATTAAGGGGCTGAATCTAGTTTAGAAGTCAGATATTCTGTCTTCAAAGACTGTGTTACTAAACGCTACATCATTCAGGCTTTGGTATTGAGACTATCAGCTTGTCACTGATTTGAGTAAGCTCTTTAACACATGTTCAGATACTCATAAGATAACTTTTATATAACTTTTATTTTGGAATATTGTACTTTTAGATTTATTGAAGAGTTGAAAAGGTAGTGGAGAGTTCCCTAATATTAACATCTTCCATAACTGTGGTTCATTTGACAAAACTAAGAGGTTAACAACAATATACTACCATTAATTAAATTATACACTCGATTCAGATGTGACCGTTTTTTCTTTAATGATATTTTTCTGTTTTAGGATTGCATCTAGGATATCATATTGCATTTTGCTGCATGTCTTCATAGTCTCCTTTGCTTGGCAACAGTTTCTTAGTTTTTCCTTGTTTTTCATGATCTTGACAGTTTTGAAGAGTACTTGTCAGTATTATGTAGAATGTCTTGCAATTTGAGTCTGTTTAATGTTTTTGTCTTGGTTAGATTGGATTTACGTTTCTTTTTGTGATGAATACCACAGATGTGCCTTTCTCATCGCATTGTATCAGAGGGTGTCTAATATCAACATATTTTATCACCAGTGATGTTAACCCTGGTCACTTGGTTAAGCTATTTTTTTACCAGGATTCTCTACTGTGAAGTTCCTATTTTCCCTTTCTGTACTCTGTTCTTTGAATGCAAGTCACTAAGTCCAGCCTACATTTAAGTGGAGGGAGATTAAGTTCCACTTCATGGAGGCTGGAGTATATTTGTATGTATTATTTGAAATTCTTTTGAAAGGACTATTTGTTTCTTCTCTTGCCCCCTGTTTTTCTATTCCAGAATTTATTTATGCTCATGTGGGCTCTTGTATATTTACATCATATTTTGGGTTATGATCTAGTACTATGTTATTTATTTTGTTGCTTATCAGATACATTTAAAAATACTTTCTTCTTGGCTTTGAAATATGATTCAGAATATTTCATGACTTGACATCTGAAACCTATATTGAATGCAAATAGACTCTGGACATTTCCTAGTGTTATATGAAATTCATTATCTTGGTGCCCCCCCCCCCCAAAAAAAACCAGTTATAATAGGCTCTTTTAATTTATGCTTTTAACATTTTTTAAGGGCACATTGTGGTATTGTTAAGTATATGCATATTTTTGTAAAATAGATATCTAGAACTTTTTCGTCTTGCACAAATGAACTTTGTACCCATCGAACAACTACTCTGTTTCCCATGTCCCCCCCGTCCCTAGAAACTACCATCTCACTTTCTGTTTCTATGTATTTAATTATTTTAGATAACTAATATAAGTGGAGTCATGCAGTTTTATCTTTTTGCGATTGGCTTATTTCATAGCATGATAGTCTCAAGATTCATCCATGTTGTAGTATATTACAGGATTTCTCTCTTCTTAAAGGCTGAATGATATTCTACTGTATGTATATACCCCTTAGCTATTGTGAATGATGCTGCAATGAACATGGGTATGCAACTATCTCTTTGAGGTCCTATTTTTAATTTTTGGGGAGATATAAGCCCAGGAGTGGGATTGGTGAGTCATGTGGTAGTTCTATTTTTAATTTTTTGAGGGCCCTCCATTTTGTTTTTCGTAGTGTTTCCATCATTTTGCAATCCCTATAAGAACAGCACTGAAGGGTTCCAATTTTTCTACATCCTCACCAACACTTGTTATTTCATTTTTTTGATAGTGGCCATTCTAATAGGTGTGAAGGTGATGTCTCATCATCATGATTTCTTTGATGATTAGTGATGTTGAACATCTTTTATATCCTTCTTGGCAATTCCCATATTTTTTTTTGAGAAATGTCTATGAAAGTCCTTTGCTTGTTTTTAAATGATTTTTTAAATTTATTTTTTGTTTTTCAGTTGTAGGAATTCTTTACATATTCTAGATATTAAACCCTTTTCCAACATATGATTAACAAACATTTTCTCTCATTTCATAGGTTGTCTCTGTTAATTATTGTCTCTGCTACATGGAAGTTTTTAATTTTGATATCGTTCCATCTGTCTTTTTTTGCTTCTGTTACCCATGTTTTTAATGCCATATTCACGTAATCATTGCCCATTCCATTGTCATGAAGATTTTCCCCTATGTATTCCTCTGGGAATTTATAGTTTAGGTCTTACATTTGGGCCTTTAATACATTTTTGAGTTAATTTCACTGTATGGTTCAAGATAAATGTACATCTTCATCTTTTTCATGTGGATATCCAATTTTTCCAATATCATTGATTGAAGGGACTATTCTTTTCATATTGCATGGTCTTGGCACATTTGTGAAAGTTCATTTGACCATATACGGGAATGTTTATTTCTGAGCTTTCTACTTTGTTTGAACACAATGGTGTATATGTCTGTCTTTATGTCAATATCATACTGTTTTGGTTATGGTAGGTTTGTAATACGTTTTGAAATCAGGTAGTGGATGCCTTCCAAATTTGTTCTTCTTCCTAAAGATTGTTTTGGCTTTTAGGGTTTTTGAGATGACATATTAATTTTAGGATATTTTTCTACTTTGAAAAAAATGCTACTGAGCACACAATTTATAGTCAATAATAATTTATTGTATATTTCAAAGTCACTAGAAGAATTGTAATCTTCCCAACACAAAGAAAAGATAAATGTTTAAGGTGATGGCTGTCTCTCAATTACCCTGCATTGCTCATTACACATGGTATATAGGTTTCAATATATCACATGTACTCCCAAGATATGTATAATTATTAAATATAATTAAAAATGCCACTGATATTTTGATAGGGATTACATTGAATCTGTAGATCACTTTGAATAGTAGAGAAATTTAAACGAGGTGAAGTCTTCCAGTCCATAAACACCGATATCTTCCTGTTTATTTGTTTCTTCTTCAATGTTTTGTAGTTCTCAGTGTATAAGTCTTTCACCTCCTTGGTCAAGTTTATTCCTAAGTATTTTTTTGACATTATTGTAAATGGGCTGTTTTCTTGATTTCCTTTTTTTGGTTATTTTTTGCAAGTTGATTTTGTATCCTGTAACTTTGCTGAATTTATTAGTTCTAACAGTTGTGTGTGTGTGTGTGTGTTTGTGTGTGTGTGTGTATTTGCAGAATCTTTGGGGTTTTCAACATATAAGATCATATCGCCTGTGAATAGAGATAATTTTGCTGCTTTTTTAAAATTATGCTTTAAGTTTTAGGGTACATGTGCACAACGTGCAGGTTTGTTACATATGTATACATGTGCCATGTTGATGTGCTGCAGCCATTAACTCGTCATTTAAAATTTGGATGCCTTTTACTTCTTTTTCCTTTCCTAATTGCTCTGACTGGGAGTTCCAGCAGTATGTTGAAAAGAAGTCATGGAAGTCATGAGAGTAGGCATATTTGCTTTGTTCCTGATCTTAGAAAAAAAAGCTTTTAGTTTGCTGAGGTGATGTTAGCTGTGGGCTTTCTTATATGACCTTTATTGTGTGGAGGCAATTTATTTCTATTTCTAGTTTGTTTTTATGATGAAAGTCTGAAGAATTTTATCAGATGCTTTTTCTACATCAGCTGAAATTATCATGTAATTTTTGTTCTTTGTGCTGTTAACATGTTATGCTACGTTTATTGATTTTCATATGTCGAACCATGTTTGCATTTCAAGGATAAATCACCCTTGCTCATAACATATAATTTTTTAAATGTACTGTTGACTTTGTTTTACTAAGATTTTGTGGAGAATTATTGCACCAATATTCTTCAGGGTTATTCGTCTGTAGTTTTAATTATCTGGCTTTGGTATCAGGGTAATGCTAGCCTCATAGAATAAATTTGGAATTTTTTTTCATCTTCAGTTTTTTGGAAGAGTTTGAGAATAATTGACATTAATTGTTGTTTAAATATTTCATAGAATTCTCCAGTGAAGCCATCTGGTCTTAAACTTATCTGTTAAGAGGCTTTAGATTACTGAGTCAATCTCCTTATTAATTATAGATCTATTCAGATTTTCTATTTCTTCTTGATTTAGTCTTGGTAGGTTGTATATTTCTAGGAATTTATCCATTTAATCTAGGTTATCCATTTTGTTAACATACAATTATTTATAGTACTTTCTTATGATCCTTTTAATTTCCATAGCATCAGTTGTAATGTCTCCCCTTTCATTTATGATTTTAATTATTTGAGTCTTCTCTGTTCTGTTTTTTCTTAATCTCTCTAAGGGCTTGACAATTTTGTTGATCTTTTTAATAAACCAAATCTTAGTCATTGATGTTTTTCTATTGCTTTTTCATTCTCTATTTTGTTTATTTGATCTCTAATTTTATTATCTTCTTCCCTTTGTTAACTTTGGGTTAGTTCGTTCTTCCTTTTTCAATTCCTTGTGGAATAAAGTTAGATTGTTGATTTGAGATTTTTTTTAAATGTAAATGTTAACAACTATAAGCTTCTCCCTTAGTAATTCTTTTGCTATGCTCCATAAGTTTTGGTATGTTGTGTTTTAATTTTCATTTATTTTAAGATATTTTCTTATTTCTTTTTTTATTTCACTTTGACTCATTGGTTGTTTAAGTATGTGGTGTGTAATTTCTACATATTTTTGAATTTTCCAGTTTTGCTACTGTTCCTGATTCATTTCATTGTGATAAGAAAAGCTGCTTGGTAAGATTTCCATCTTTTAATATTTGTTTTACTTATTTTGTAGCCTAACATGATCTATTCTAGAGAATGTTCTGAGTGCATTTGAGAAAAATGTATATTATGTTGCTGTTAAATGGTAGGTTCTATATGACTGTTAGGTTCAGTTGGTCTGCAGTGTTGCTATGCCCTCTATGTTCTTAATGGTCTTCCGTCTGGTTGTGGTGGATATTGAAATTTCCTACCATTATTGTGTTATAGTCTATTGTTCCCTTCAATTTTGTCAATGTTTGCTTCATGTATTTGGGTGCTCTGATGTTAGTGCATATATACATATATATGTATATATATATATATTTTTTTAATTGTTATATCTTTCTGAAGAATTGACACTTGTGTCATTAGAGCATGTCCTTTGTCTCTTGTGGCAGTTTTTTAGTTAAAATTTAGTTTGTCTGTATAAGTAGCTACTTCTGCTCTCTTTTGGTTACCATCTGCATAGAATATCTATTTTTATCCTTTTACTTTCACGCTTTGTTCGCCTTTCCATCGGAGGTGAGTTTTTTGTAGAAAGCATATAGTTGCATCTTTTTTTTTTTTTTTAAAGTAATCCATTCAGTCACTTCATATCTTTTTATTGGGGAGTTTAATCCATTTACATTTAAAGATATTACTGTAAGGAAAAACTTACTACTGTCATTTCCTTAATTCCTCTTTGACTTTTACTTCTGCTAACTTTAATGTGTCTTTACATGGGTCTTTTTTTGGTCATTCTGGATAAGGTCCTTTGAGTTCTTTGAATTTGGATGTCTATTTCCTTCCTCAGATTTGGGAAATTTTCAGCCTTTATTTCTTCAAATAAGCTCTGTGTCCTTTCCTGCTCTCTTCTCCTTCACTGTGTATTACATGTTTTTCTGCTTGGTGGTGTACCTAAGTCTCTCCTACTTTCTTCACTTTTCTTCATTCTCGACCTCTCTGTCTCTGTATCTCTTTCTCTCTTTTTGCTCCTCTGATTCATTAATTTCAAATGATCTTTCTACACATTTGCTGAATCTTTCTTTTGCTTAATCAAATCTACTATTGGACCCTCTAGAAAATTGTTGAGTTCAGTTATTGCGTTATTTAGTTTCAGAATTCCTGTTTGGCCTTTCTTTTTTTAGTTTTTAAAAAATCATTTTTTTAAATTGGGAAATGGATCATTTTCCTGATTTCATTTAGTTGTCTATCTCTGTAGATCATTGCCTTCTTTACAACAATTATTTTGAATTATTTGTCAGGTAATTCATCTGTGTTTCTTTGGGGTTGGTTTTTGGAGATTAATTTTGTTAATTAATTTTGTTCTGCCATGCTTTCCTTTTTCTCTCTCTCTCTCTCTCTCTCTCTCTGTGTGTGTGTGTGTGTGTGTGTGTGTGTGTGTGTGTTTGGCTGAGTTTTATGCGTTTGAAAAAACAGCTACCTCTTCCAGTCTTCACAGATTGGATTTGTTCAGGGAAAGACCTTCACCAATTAGCCCAGCTAGAGATCCTGGGGGCTTGAAACCTTTTTTGGGGAATGTGATTTTTCCAGTCTTGTGCATATGATTTCCCAATTAGAGAGCTTTGCTGTTTTCTTTCTCAGGAGCTTATAATCTCTTGCTTTCTGTGATGTCTGTCAGTCATACTATAGGTTATCTCATAGAAGTAGCAAGGTACTCCTCTTTCGTTTGTCTTAGTAGCCTCCAGGCATCCAAAGCATGGTAGCTTTCCACTAGCTTCCCAAGTCAGATGAGACAGATACCAGTTCCTTGGGCAGCATTCCAAAAAGCCAAAATGCCAAATGTCTGGTTTACTTTTTTCCTCTTTCCCAAGGGAGAAGTGATGAGTTGAAAATCTTGTCCCAGTTGTACCAAGCCCTAACAGCCTCTACCTGCAGCACCACATGGTTCCCCACTTTCTTTCTTTTTTTTTTTTTTTTTTTTTGAGATGGAGTCTCACTCTGTCGTCCAGGCTGGAGTGGCAGTGGCACCGTCTTGGCTCACTGCAAGCTCCACCTCCCGGGTTCATGCTATTCTCCTGCCTCAGCCTCCCGAGTAGCTGGGACTACAGGCGCCCGCCACCAAACCCAGCTAATTTTTTGTATTTTTAGTAGAGACGGGGTTTCACCGTGTTAGCCAGGATGGTCTCGATCTTCTGACCTCGTGATCCACCCGCCTCGGCCTCCGAAAGTGTTGAGATTACAGGCTTGAGCCACCGCGCCCGGCCACTTGCTTTTGCTTTAAGAGACCTCCAGGCATCCAAATTATGCGGTTCTGTTAGTACTTTTAGTCAGGCAAAACAGATACCAGTCTCTTGGGCTGTCTTCCAAAAAGCCAGGATGTTAGATGTACACTCTTCTCTTTGCCCTTAAAGGAAAAGCCATGAGCCAACCTAAACTGTGCTGACTTGGAGGAACAATCATGGATAAAATGGAATGGCCCTTCTTACCCTTTTCAATGTTGCTGTACTTAGCTTTGTGCTCACGAGGGGTACTGCAACTTCTTAACGTTTTTCTGGAATTCTCAAAAAGGATTTTTGCTTTGTTTGTTGCTGTTAATTCAGTGACCCTGTGGGAAAAGAGAAGTGAGACTTCTTATTTTACCATCTTACTGATATTACTTCAATTATAATAAACTTAAATACCATCTTCAAGTTTATGATGGATTTCTACAAAATACTGAATGTGAGGAAACTTTCTCAAAGTTAGTAGTTACACTGAAATTGGGGAAAATAACTCATGAAACCCATAGTTTTTACTTAAAAATAATTAGTTTGCCATTTAGACTTTTTTTTTTTTTTTTTTTTTTTTTTTTGACACGGAGTCTCGCTCTGTTGCCAGGCTGGAGTGCAGTGGCGCGATCTCGGCTCATTGCAACCTCCGCCTCCCAGATTCAAGAGATTCTCCTGCCTCAGTCTCCCGAGTAGCTGGGACTACAGGTGCGCACCACCATGCCCAGCTGATTTTTGTATTTTTAGTAGAGACGGGGTTTCATCATGTTGGCTAGGATGGTCTCGATCTCTTCACCTTGTGATTGCCCCGGCCTCCCAAAGTGCTGGGATTACAGGCGTGAGCCACCGCGCCCAGTCATCATTTAGTTTTATACAAGTATAACATCTAGTTAGAGATAATTCACTTTTGATTATTCCAGCCCTATTTGCCTTTAACTTTAATAGCATCAACACCCAAGAGTTATTCATTGGCAGATTAACATTTTTAAGGTTTGTGGCCTCTAAATGACAGAATGAAAAAAAATCATTGTACAAATGTGAAGGAGCAAATATTCATCAACTGCAGGGAAAAATATTTTGATTAAAGATTTGAAAGTAGATTACTAGGGTTAGTTAAAATTGCTAGAGTTCAACTGCTATTGGGACTTTGTTCAAGAGAATGAGGAATATATGCTAGTAATAGAACAAGGAAAATAAGGTGGCTATGAAAATATACAGATGCAGGAAATCTTAGAATATGCATTTATTTTTAAAAAAGTGAGTATTTAACTATTTAGTATGTCACTGGGAAAATTTATGCAGTGACTGAGAAGCAGACTAGGTGCTTTGACCGATACATTTTACCTTCAATTTATGTCCTGTTGTGCATGTGTGGCAATCATCAAGTTATCATTTTATTGCTTTCATCCAAAGGTCATTAAAAGATCTATGGAGCAAAGGATAAATAGAGTATGATGTTTAGAATGGATTATAGGGACAAAAACAGAACAATATGACTTTCTGTATGTAAAACAAACTTGCATTTTGGAATAGAATTTAGAATAGAAATGATCAAACCTCTGCCATTATTATTATCTATAATTATTAAATAAACTTTGGCTCTAGATTTTTGAAGCACCCAAGAAATAGAGACATTCTGAGTCATAAGCAGAGCTCTGCTACAGATTAATTTACTTGTTTCTTTAGGTGTTTTAAATGATGTTTCTATTAAAAAGTCTGTATGTGAATTCTGGCTTCATTCTGGATGCATGGAGTGGATTAGTAAGTAATGAAAAAGGATTTTCAAAGTAAGTTGTGCAAGATGATCTCTTGTCATTCAGAAAGATACTATTAAAACTTCCTACATCGGGCATGGTGGGATCACGCCTGTAATCCCAGCACTTTGGGAGGCTGAGCAAGGAGGATCACCTGAGGTCAGGAGCTTGGGACCACCCTGGCCAACATGGCAAAGCCCCAACTCTACTAAAAATAAAAAAAATTAGTTGGGTGTGGTGGTGCATGCCTGTAATCCCAGCTACTCAGGAGGCTGAGGCAGAGAATCTCTTGAACCTGGTAGGCAGAGGCTGCAGTGAGCTGAGGTCATGCCATTGCACTCCAGCCTGGGTGACAGAGTGAGACTCCGTCTCAGAAATAAATAAATATATAAAACTTCCTTAAAAATTATTTTGACCTCATTTAAAACTTCTTTTTTTTGGTGTGTGGATGAATTTAAAAAAATTTCTATATCAGTACAGTAAAACACATATTTACTTTTAAATAAATAAGAATATTACAAAACTTTTTACAGATAAGACTGTCTTAAGTTTAGGTCCATTGAGATCCAAGGCTTGGAACTTTTGCATTCAATTAGGCATTGACATTTTTCAAAAAGCAGATTTATTGAGGTATAATTTACATACCATAAAATTCACCCTGTGTAACCAATGAAATAATTTTTAGTAAATTTTTAAAATTTGCAACCATCACAGTATACCAGCTTTAGAATATTTCCATCACCCTAAACATTTCTTTAAAGCTCATCTTCAGTAAATTCCTATTCCTTCTGACTTCTGTCTCTATAAATTTTCCTTTTTTTGGACATTTTATATAAATGGCTATACAATATGTAGTCTTTTGTGTGTAACTTCCTTCATTCAGCATAATGCTTTTTTAAATTTTAAACACTTTTTTCTTTGTTATATTTTAATAGTTTTTGGGAAACAGGTATTTTTTGGTTACATGGATAAGTTCTTTAGTGGTGATTTCTTAGATTTCGGTGCATCCGTCACCCAAGCAGTATATTTTGTACTCAAAATTTTGTGCTGTACTCAATGTATAGTCTTATCCCTCACCCTCTCCCACCCTTCTCCCAAGTCGCCAAAGTCCATGATATCATTCTTATACCTTTGTGTATTCATAGCTTAGCTGCCACTTATAACTGAGAATATATGATATTTAGTTTTCTATTCCTAAGTTAATTCACTTAGAATGATGGTCCCCAACTCCATGTAGGTTGCTGCAAATGCCATTATTTCCTTCCATTTCATAGCTGACTGGTATTCCATGGTGTATATATTTTCTTTTTCCACTGTTTGGTTGATGGGCATTTAGGTTGGTTCCATATTTTTGCAATTGTGAATTGTGCTGCTATAAACACCACTTAGTGTAATGTTTTTGAGGTTTACTCACATAGTAGTATGTAACCATAGTTCATTCCCTTTTTTGCTTAATAGTGTTCCATTTTATGGATACACCATATTTAATTTATCTACTCATTATTTAATGGATGTTTGGATTGTTTCCAGTTTGTGGTTACAATATAATGTTGATATGAATATAATAGTCCTCCCTTATCTGCAGGGAATATATTACAAGACTTAAGTGGATGCCTGAAACTGCAGATAGTGTCAAACCCTATATATACAAGTTGAGTATCTTTTATCTGAAATGCTTGGGACCCATGCTTCGGATTTGGAATTTTTTTAAAAATTTTGGAATATTGTATTATACTTACTGTCTGAACATCCCAGATCCAAACATTCAAAATCTGAAATGCCCCAATAAGCATTTCCTTTGAGTATCATTTCAGTGTTCAAAAAGTTTCAAATTTTGGAACATTTCAGATGTTGGATTTACAGATTTGGAATGCACAACCTCTTGTATATATTTTCCAATATGTACATAACTATCATAAAGTTTAATTTATAAATTAGGCATGTTAAGAGATTAACAACAATAACTAGTAATAAAATAGAACAATTATTAAAATATACTGTAATGTATGTGAATGTGATGAACAATGATGATGAGCATTTTTTCATATGTCCCTTGGCCATTTGTGTATTTTCTTTTGAGAAATATCTGTTCAGATCTTTTGCATATTTAAAATCTGGTTATTTGATTTTTTTTTAATTGGGTTGTTTGAGTTGTTATATGTTTTGGATATTTAGCCCTTACTGGATACACAGCTTGCAAATATTTTCTCCCATTCTGTGGGTTGTCTCTTCACAGCTTTGATTATTTCCTTTAATCTGCAGAAGCTTTTTAGTTTGATGTAATCTTACTTGTCAGTTTTTGCTTTTGTTGCCTATGTTTTTGGGGTCATAGAAAAAAATTGTTCAGACCAGTGTTGTGGAGTTTTCCTACTATGTTTTCTTCTAGTATTTAGAGTTGATTTTTGTAGATGATTGAGATAGGGTCTAACTTTATTCTTCTGCATGTGAATATTCTCTTTTCCCACCACCACTTATGAGACATTATCCTCTTCCCATTGTATGTTCGTGGCATCTTTGTAAAAAATCAATTGAATATAAATACACGGACTTATTTCTGGGTTCTCTGTCCTGTTTCATTAGTCTATGTGTCTTTTTTATTTATGTACCATGATGTTTTGATTACAGAAGTTTTGTAGTATATTTCTTATCAGAGAGTGTGATGCTTCTAGCTTTATTCTTTTTGTTCACTATTGCTTTGGCTATTCAGTGTCTTTTGTGGTTCCATACAACTTTTAAAATTGCTTTTCTATTTCTGTGAAAAACGTATTGGAGTTTTGTTAGGGATTGCATTGAAGCTGTAGATTGCTTTGGGTAGCTGGGACATTTAAAAAATATTAAATCTCCCAATCCATAAATACAAGATGTCTTTCCATTTATTTGTGCTTTCTTCAATTTATTTCATCATTGTTTTCTAATTTTAAATGTAAAGATCTTTCACTTTCTTGGTTAGATTTATTCCTAAGTATTTTAATTTTCTTAGCTATTGTAAATGGGATTGTTTCTTGATTTCTTTTTCATATAGTTTGTTGTTATTGTATAGAAATGCTTTATGTTCTTTTTGTTCATTTTGTGAAACTTTACTGATTTCAGTAAAGTTGTAGGATAATAAAGTTAACTTTACTAATAAAGTAAAGTTTATTAGTTCTAACAGTTTTTTTGGCAGAGTCTTTATGGTGAAGTCTTTAAGATCATATGGTCTGCAGACAGACACAGTTTAACTTCTTCCTTTCCAATTTCGATACCTTTTATGTCTTTCTCTTGTCTAATTGCTCTGGCTAGGACTTCCAGTACTATGGTGAATAGATGTGGTGTGAACTGGCATTCTTATCTTGTTCCTGATCTTAGAGGAAAAGCTTTCAAGTTTACACTGTTAAGTATGTTGTTCTCTGTGGGTTTGTTATGTATGGTCTCTATTGTGATGAAGTATGTTCCTTCTTATATCCAATTTTCTGATAGTTTTTATTATGAAAGTAGGTTGAATTATGTCATAATTTTTCTGCATCTATTGAGATGAACATATGGTTTTTGTCCTTCATTCTGTTAATGTGGTGTAACATATTTATTGATATGATTTTGTTGAATCATCCTTACATGTCAGGGATAAATCCCATTTAATTATGGTGAGTGATCCTTTTAATGTGCTGCTAAATTCAGTTTCTAGTATTTTGTTGAAGATTTTTGCATCTATGTTCATAAGGAATATTTGTCTGTAATTTTCTTTTTTTCAGTATCTGGGTAATGCTTGCTTCGTAAAAGGAGTTTGGAAATATTCTCTCTTCTTCAATTTTTGAATTTAAGAAGAATTTGCACTGCTGCTTCTTTAACTGTTTGGTAGAACTCAGCAGTGAAACTTTTTAAAAGAAACTGATTTGGTCTCTTTAATTGCCCTAGGTCTGTTCAGGTTTTCTATTTCTTAGTGATTTAGAGTGACATGTTGTATGTTTCTATGAATTTATCTGTTTCTTCTAGGGTACTCAATTTCTTGGCATGTAATTGTTCATAGTAGACTCTTATGATCCTGCATCAATTGTATTGTCTCCTCTTCCACTTCTGATTTTTTTATTTGAGTCTTCTCTTTTTTTTATTAGTATAGCTTAAGTTTTGTTGATTTCAGTTATGTTTTCAAAAAATGAACTCAGTTTCATTAAACTTTTCTATTGTTTCTCATATCTCTATTTCATTTATTTCAGCTCTGATCTTTATTATCTTCTGAATGATATCTTGATTATCTCTACGTTTTGTCAGTTATGAACATCCATCTGCAGGTTTTCATGTGAACATAAAGATTTCAGTTTTTTTGAGTATAGACCAAGGAGTTTGATTGCTGGGTCTTATGATAAATGTATGTTTAGTTTTGTAAGAAACTGCCAAACTGTCTTCCAAAGGGCTGTGCCATTTTGCGTTCCCACCAGCAATTAATAAAATTCCTGTTGCTCCACATTCTGACTAGCATTTGGTGTGTTAGTGTCTGGATTTTAGCCATTTTAATAGGTATGCAGTGGTATCTCATTGTTGTTTTAATTTGCATTTCCCTAATCACATGATATGAAGCAATTTTTTTTGTATTCTTATTTGCCAATTGTATATTTTCTTTGGTGGGGTGTCTGTTAAGATCTTTGTCCTACATTTAAAAATCAGTTTTTTATTTTCTTATTATTAAAGTTTAAGAGTTCCTTGTATATTTTGAATAATAGTCCTTTATCAGATATGTCTTTTTAAAATATTTTTTCTTGGTCTGTGGCTTGTTTTTTCTTTCTATTAACAATGTCTTTTGCAGAGCTGATGTTTTTACTTTTGATAAAGTACAGCTTATTAAGTCTTTCTTTCATGGGTTGTACCCTTGTGGTGTATCTACAAAATCATGACCAAATCCAAGGTCATTTAAATTTTCTCCCATGTTATCTTCTAGGGGTTTTATATAAAGTTTTGTATTTCACATTTAGATCTATGACCCATTTGGAATTAATTTTTGTGAAACGTGCAAGGTCTGTATCTAGTTTTTTTTTTTTTTTTTTTTTTGCATGTTGATATCCAGTTGGTTCAGCACCATTTGTTGAAAAGACTGTCTTTGCTCCATTGTATTGCCTTGCTCATTTGTCAAAGATGAGTTGATTATTTTTTTGTGGGTCTTTTTCTGGGCTCTCTATTCTGTTCAATTGAACTATTTTGCCTGTTTTTTTAATACTACACTGTCTTCATTACTATAGTTTTGCAGTAGATATTGAAGTTAGGTAATGGCAATTCTCCAATTTTGTTCTTCTCCTTCAATATTGTGTTGGCTATTCTGAGGTTTTGCCTCTACACATAAACTTTAGTATCAATTTGTTGATATCCATAAAATAACTTGCTCAGATTTTGATTATGATTGCATTGCATCTACAGATCACGTTGGGAAAACTGACATCTTGACAAAATTGAGTCTTCCAATCCATGAATATTAGCAACTCTCCATTTATATAGTTTCTTTCATCAGTTTTGTAGTTTTTCTCATAAAAATCTTGCACATATTTTTGTTAGATTTATACTAAAATGTTTCAATTTTGGGGTGTTAATGAAAATGATATTCGGTTTTTAACTTCACATTCTATTTCTTTATTACTGGTATGTAAGCAAGTGATTGATTTTTGTATATTAACCTTGTATTCTACAACCTTGGTTTTAGCAGTTGTTTTTTGTTTACTCTTTCGGACTTTCTACATGCTTTATGATTTGAAATGTACAAATTTTGCACTTCTTTTCTTAAATTTATTTATTCATTTTTATGCTTGTGTATGAAATTGTTTCCTGAATTTATTTTTGGGTTCCTCATTGTTAGTATATATAAATAAAATTAATTTTTTGAATTTGTGACCCATGACCTTGCTGAAGTTATTTGTTAGTTTTTTGTCCTTAAAATTTTTTATATACAAGATTATTTCATCTGTCTTCAAAAACAGTTTTACTTCTTCCTTTTCAATTTATGTGCCTTCTACTTCTCTCTTTCCCCTTCTCACTCTCATGTTTGCTTTATTGTACTGGCTGGTACCTCAAATAAATAAAATGTTGAATGGCATTGGTGAGTTTGAGTACCTTGCCTTCTTCCCAACCTCAATGGGAAAGTATTTACTCTTGCATCATTAAGAATGATGTTAGCTGTAGGCTTTTTATAGTTGCTGTTTATCGGTTTGAGAAAATTCTCTTGTATTTCTGATTTATTGAATATTTTTCATTATGAATGGTTGTTGGAATTTGCTAAGAACTTTTCTGCATCAATCAATATAATTTTTGTCCTTTATTCTACTAACATGGCGTGTTACTTTAAGCAGTTTTCATATATTAAACCAATTTTGCATTCCTGTTATAAATCCAATTTAGTCATAAGTATAATCAAAAGTAAAATTTTTTGTATGTTGCTAGATTCACTTTGCTAATATTTTGTTGGGATTTTTGCTTCTAAGTTCATGAGGGATAATGGTTTGTAATTTTCTTTTCTTGTAATGTCTTTGTCTGATTTTGATAATAGGATAGTTTGGGAAGTATTCTCTTTCTGAAAGTTTGTGAAGGATTAGTATTATTTATATATTAATTATGTTAGAATTAATCGTTTTTATTTTTAAAAAGTAAATCAGATCATATTAATCATTTGCTTAAATTCCAATTATGCCTCCACGTTAAATTTTGCATAGAATCCAGTTTCCTTACCAAGGCCTACAAGGCCCAGTGTATAAAGAGCCTTTCTATATCTGACATTGTTTTCTATTAATTTCTTACTTGCCCACTATGCTCTAACTACACAGGCCTTTTTATGTACCTCGAACACTCTAATCTTAGGGCCTTTTTACTTGATTCTTTCTATTACTGGCTCTTTCTCATCAATTATATCTTAGCTCAAATGTAATTGATAGAGTTATTCCCAGTTTACTCACCTTCATTTCTGCCCCAATGACTTTTTACCCCCTTATTATGTTTTATTTTTTTCCAGAACTGTTCAGTATTTGACATTCTTATTTATTTGTATATTTAGCATTTATTATCTGTCTCTTCTCCCTTAAACATAAGCTCAGTGAAGGCAGCTATCTGGCCTTTCTCATTTGTTGCTATATCCCTTGTACCTAGAACAGTGTCTGGTCCTTAGTAAAACCTCAATCATTATTTGCATAATAAGTGAATGAAATGAGTTATCCACGGTCTTGCTTGGGTTTTGGAAAGATAATTAGATAATGTGATCCTTCCCAAGAGTTCTTAATCAGAAACCTTAAAAATAGAAAAAATAGGCCCGGCACGGTGGCTCACACCTGTAATCCCAGCACTTTGGGAGGCCGTGGCGGGCGAATCACGAAGTCAGGAGATCGAGAGCATCCTGGCTAACACGGTGAAACCCCTCTCTACTAAAAATACAGAAAAATTAGATGGGCGTGGTGGCGGGCGCCTGTAGTCCCAGCTACTTGGGAGGCGGAGGCAGAACAGCGTGAACCCGGGAGCCTGAGCTTGCAGCGAGCCGAGATTGCGCCACTGCACTCCAGCCTGGGGGACAGAGGGAGACTCTGTCTCAAAAAAAAAAAAAAAAAAAAAAAAAAAAAGAAAAGAAAAGAAAAAGAAAAAGAAAAAATAAGTTGATAGAAATCATGAGATCCACTTTTGTCGGTAAATAGCATTACAAAAGTTTGGTATCAGTGTTGTCAAGACCGTATTGGTCATATGGACAGTAAGAAATTAAAGAAGTGGTTGGGATCTTTAGGCTCAATTACTTCCTCCGATAATTAAAATGATTAAACAAATATTTCCCTTTGCTCATTTTACTGATCCAAACAGATCATTCCATAACATCCTGGTGTGATCTGTGGTATCCTTAAGGACCTTGAAGCTCCATTATCTTCCTCATTTTCTTCATTCATTTAAAATAAAAGTCAGCCTCTAGTGGACGATACAAGACAATTTCCACCTTCTTAATAAAAAGATCCCCCGGAAGTTTTTGGCTTACTTATTATTTTAAACTTCTATGCATATAAGTCAGATCACGTAATATCCACATATAGTATTTCAGTTAGAAATTTGGTTTTTTGTTTCTATTTAAAATCTCATTTTTTAAAGCATTAACTGATAAAGTTGCTTTTTTTCCATTCATACATCATGGAATTATTGTATTCAGATTTACTTCAGTTATTTACCTCTTCTATGTCTGTATCAACACTTTAACCTATTTTTTTTTGTCATCGAATACCATTTTCCATTCAACGATTTCCAAAGTAGCTTATTTTTAAAGTTGTTTGAGATACAGCGATCTTGGAATCAGCATATGATACTGTCTCTAAAAATGTTATTCCAAGCTACAGGTAAATATTTATAAAATATTTTAACATTTTATAAACATTATAAAAGTTTTTATTTTTATTCACCCTATTTATTATATACTTATCAATACACCACTTTGTATATGTAAGTGTTGCATTTTTTTTTGTAACATGGTCTTTAAAAAACTTGTTTCTGTTTGAATTGTAAGCTCTTATTCCAGATAGAAGTACTGAATCCACATTTAATATTTTATTTTTTTGTCTTTTTTCTTTTTTGTTGCTTTTTAAATATCAATCTCATGATTTAAGCATCGCAAATTAGCATTGATTACAGACTAATGTGTCTTCTCCAAACTACACTTAGTTGCTTAAAATAAATATTGAATTCCATTTAATAAAAATATTTTAAAAGCCCTCTAATACAGTGCAACATTCTTTTTTTGTATGAGATCATTTTGGGGGAGAATTCATGCTTCCAGTTTGGCCAGATAGAGATTTTAAAGAATATATTCATGTCTTTTAATTTTCAGACTTCCAGGAATATAAATTTTTTTCCATTTGTTTAATGTAGATTTTTCTCTCCCATCTTTTAAAAATATTTGTGCAGAAGTGAGTATTTTATTTGATTACTTACTCTTCTACTAACTACCACCATAAAGAAATCCACCTAATTGATCCTACATGTTTGAAGTAACGTTGAACACTACATGCTTTGTGAGAATGTAACATCTATGAAAGTTCGTTTCTTTGAAAAATCAAACAAAAGCAGATGAATGACTTATTTACTTTAACTATATAGTATCCTAGTATTTGACGTGTTAGGATTAATTTTGTATTTTTAGATGCATAACTCAAATTTTTATTAAAACAGGAAACTTTAATATCTTTATAATTATAAAATCTTATTGTTAACAAATCTGTTAGATGGGCAGGTAGTTCACAGGCAATACCTGTGCCAGATATTATAGTATAGTAGTTAAAGGTATGATTTGGAGCAAGGCATCCTCAGTTTAAATCTTGATCTTTCTTTTATAGCCATGTGATTTTTAGGAAAGTTGCTTAGCCTCTGTGTGCCTCCATAGCCTCCTATATAAATTGAGAATGACGGAAAGATTAAGTAATTTGACAAGCATAAAGAAAATGTGTGGTGCATAATAAATATTAAATAAGTATTTGACATCTTAAATAAGTATCTGATATTATTGTTATAATCAACAATAACAATAGAATGTCCAGTCAAGAACTTAGTCTTTTTAAAAATTTATTAGTTTTCTGTAAACACTGTGATGACTTAAGAACTTAGTCTTAACACCAGCTCATCTAATTGTGATTCATTTTCTTTTTCCCTGTCAAACTGTTTTAATTTAAAATGCATTTATTTGTTAACTACCATTAGTTAACTATTACTAGGTGGGATATATCTTCTGCCAATTAAAAACTTATTATTGACAGGTGTGTTTGACAAAAAATCCAATTAACTCTAAATAAGATGAAATATAATAGGAAAAAAGCTAGTGTTTATTGATCATGTACTTAGCATTGTTCTTCAAATTCCTTTTTCTTTATTTATTTAATTCCAAACTCTTCAAAATTGGCATTACAATTCCAATTTTTACAGATAAAGAAACTGGAGTTCAAAAAGTTATGAAAATTGCTAAAAGCCACACTGGTGTAACTAGGATTTACAACTATTTGTAAATGAAGAGGGTAATTTTATTATGCAGAAAGAGGTTCAAATTCATCCTAGATGTTGAAGCTAAAGTTTCTGAAAATGCTGTTGCTTATGAAAGTGACAATTGGCTATGTTTCACAGGCTTTGGGACAGTTTTTCTTGAGGCTGTATATTGGTTCAGGCCTACTCTTGTTCCTATTTCAGCTAGGGCATCTTTCTGAATTTTTCAACTGGGGTATCTTGTCCTGCTTTTGACCACCTCTAGGAGGTTGCATATATTTGTTGTTAGGAATAACAAGGCACCTTATATTCCATGCCACCATCACTTCTTTATGATTCATTTGGACAGCTCTACCTACAGAAAAGCCTGGTTATCCTGAAAGTACATGCAATCCCAAAGATAGAACTTTAAAGAGAATAGATATGTGAATAATACATTGCAAATGAAGGTCAACTCCTAAATATCCAAATAGATTTTAATTCTGCTCAAGACAGATCAATAAAGCCAAATTTGATGATTTCAGGTATAGCTGATTTAGAGCTATTACCTTAAAACCAACTTGCTATTTCCTGTACCAATGAAAGATTGCATGACTTTTACAGTAAATGTTACTTAAAGAAAAAATTGCCCTTATAGTTCTTGGCCAAATATCTGGGGTCAGATGGAAAACCTTTGGAAGCTTAGCAATTTTGGCAGTTCCCCAGAGTTTAGTAGTATTAATGTTTTAGTTTCCTAATAACATTTTAAATTTCTTTAAATTCTCAAATAGATTATGTCATTTGAAAATATAGAATAATGTCAAAAAAGGAATATAATAACCTTGAGATTTTTAAATATTGATTTTGGAAGCTCTTCACACTTATATAATTTAATATAGTAATTGGTTGATTTGGGTTTTCTTTCCATTGTATTTAAATTCTTACAGGAATATTTTAACATAATAGGTTGCCAGCAGGAGCTTAAGTAGTAAAAATAAAGAATGGATGCCATTATAATAATTTTTGAGAAAATTTTCTCTATTTCTGTACTCAATAACTATTTATTTGTGCATTTATAGTTATATTCATCCCTGTGTCTTTACCTAGATTTGTTTACGGACTTCATACTCAAGTATAACTGGCTGCTGATACATTTTCACGGAAAGATCACCCTTGAGGCACTTCAAGCCCAACAGCTCCAAAATCAAATTTGTTATTTTTATACTTCGATTTTTCTTCCAAGTTCCTTAATTTGGTCAATGGTATCACCATCCATTATTTATTCAAACAAGAAACCTTTTAGTTATATTTAAATTTTCTTTTTCACCTTCCATATCCAATTAGTTACCAATTTTGATCCTGCTCTTTAATTTCTGAAATAATCTTTTTTTTTTTTTGCCATCTCCTTGTAACTGTTACTATAGCTTTCAAATTGGTCTCCTAGCCTATTCTCATTCCAAACTCACCCACTGAACCTGTCTTCTATTCTATCTTAGCCTAGGTCTTCCCCCAGAACAGATCCTGAGACAGGGCTCTCATGCTGGTTGCTTACTTTGGGAGGTGATCCTAAGGAACAAGAATGAGCTGCTGAGAAAAGTGAAACAAGCAAGGAGAGAGCAATGATCTGGATGCCTTATCAAGCTGGGTCCACCGGGGCAATTAGCACCCTGTCTTACTAAAGACTCCTGATGAGCTCTGTAGAATCTACCTCAGAATTGTACATCCGGGGGATGAAAACAGGGAGCATTTATCTACTAGCTTCCATTCTCCACTGTTCTAGAGTTTCTTAAAGGTGTTAACTCACATATTTTCAGGTTTAGTTGAACAGATGCCCACATGGGATTACACCAGAGAAATTCAACTGCAGAAAGCAAGATAGCAGGGCTAACTGCATGGGTGTTGATCTATGCCCTCACAGG